>NC_000011.10:51120733-51420733 GCF_000001405.40 Homo sapiens
AGCATTCTCAGAAACTGCTTTGTGATGTTTGTGTTCCACTTCAGGAATTGAACTTTCCTCTTGACAGAGCAGCTCTGAAACCCTCTTTTTCTAGAATCTGCAAGTGGACATTTGGAGGGCTTTGGGGCCTGTGGTGGAAAAGGAAAATCTTCACATAAAAACTAGATGGAAGCATTCTCAGAAACTACTTTGTGATGATTGCATTCGACTCACAGAGTTGAACATTCCTATAGATAGAGCAGGTTGTAAACAATCTTTTTGTAGAATCTGCGATTGGAGATTTGGACTGCTTTGAGGCCTACTGTAGTAAAGGAAATAACTTCATCTAAAAACCAAACGGAAGCATTCACAGACAATTCTTAGTGATCATTGGATTGAACTAACAGAGCTGACCATTCCTTTAGTTGGCGCAGTTTCCAAACACACTTTCTGTAGAATCTGCAAGTGGATATTTGGACCTCTCTGAGGATTTCGTTGGAAACGGGTAAAACTTCCCAGAACTACACGGAAGCATTCTGAGAAACTTCTTTGTGATGTTTGCATTCAACTCACAGAGTTGAACCTTGCTTTCATAGTTCAGCTTTCAAACCCTCTTTTTGTAGAATCTGCAAGTGGATATTTGGACCACTTTGTGGCCTTCCTTCGAAACGGGTATATCTTCACATCAAACCTAGACAGAAGCATTCTCAGAAGGTTTCCTGTGATGACTGCATTCAACTCACAGAGTTGAACAATCCTGTTGATGGAGCAGTTTTGAAACTCCCTTTCTTTGGGATCTGCAAGTGGATATGTGGACCTCTTTGAAGATTTCGTTGGAAACGGGTTCATGTTCACATAAAAACTAAACAGGAGCATTCTCAGAAACTGCTTTGTGATGTTTGTGTTCCACTTCAAGAATTGAACTTTCCTCTTGACAGAGCAGCTCTGAAACCCTCTTATTCTAGAATCTGCAAGTGGACATTTGGAGGGCTTTGAGGCCTGTGGTGGAAAAGGAAAATCTTCACATAAAAACTAGATGGAAGCATTCTCAGAAACTACTTTGTGATGATTGTATTCGACTCACAGAGTTGAACATTCCTATAGATAGAGCAGGTTGTAAACAATCTTTTTGTAGAATCTGCGATTGGAGATTTGGACTGCTTTGAGGCCTACTGTAGTAAAGGAAATAACTTCATCTAAAAAACAAACGGAAGCATTCACAGACAATTCTTAGTGATCATTGCATTGAACTAACAGAGCTGAACATTCCTTTAGATGGCGCAGTTTCCAAACACACTTTCTGTAGAATCTGCAAGTGGATATTTGGACTTCTCTGAGGATTTCGTTGGAAACGGGATAAACTTCCCAGAACTACACGGAAGCATTCTGAGAAACTTCTTTGTGATGTTTGCATTCAACTCACAGAGTTGAACCTTGCTTTCATAGTTCAGCTTTCAAACACTCTTTTTGTAGATTCTGCAAGTGGATATTTGGACCACTTTGTGGCCTTCCTTCGAAACGGGTATATCTTCACATCAAACCTAGACAGAAGCATTCTCAGAATGTTTCCTGTGATGACTGCATTCAACTCACAGAGGTGAACAATCCTGCTGATGGAGCAGTTTTGAAACTCTCTTTCTTTGGATTCTGCAAGTGGATATGTGGACCTCTGTGAAGATTTCGTTGGAAACGGGTTCATTTTCACATAAAAATTAAACAGAAGCATTCTCAGAAACTGCTTTGTGATGTTTGTGTTCCACTTCAGGAATTGAACTTTCCTCTTGACAGAGCAGCTCTGAAACCCTCTTTTTCTAGAATCTGCAAGTGGACATTTGGAGGGCTTTGAGGCCTGTGGTGGAAAAGGAAAATCTTCACATAAAAACTAGATGGAAGCATTCTCAGAAACTACTTTGTGATGATTGCATTCGACTCACAGAGTTGAACATTCCTATAGATAGTGCAGGTTGTAAACAATCTTTTTGTAGAATCTGCGATTGGAGATTTGGACTGCTTTGAGGCCTACTGTAGTAAAGGAAATAACTTCATCTAAAAACCAAACGGAAGCATTCACAGACAATTCTTAGTGATCATTGGATTGAACTAACAGAGCTGAACATTCCTTTAGATGGCGCAGTTTCCAAACACACTTTCTGTAGAATCTGCAAGTGGATATTTGGACATCTCTGAGGATTTCGTTGGAAACGGGATAAACTTCCCAGAACTGCACGGAAGCATTGTGAGAAACTTCTTTGTGATGTTTGCATTCAACTCACAGAGTTGAACCTTGCTTTCATAGTTCAGCTTTCAAACACTCTTTTTGTAGAATCTGCAAGTGGATATTTGGACCACTTTGTGGCCTTCCTTCGAAACGGGTATATCTTCACATCAAACCTAGACAGAAGCATTCTCAGAATGTTTCCTGTGATGACTGCATTCAACTCACAGAGGTGAACAATCCTGCTGATGGAGCAGTTTTGAAACTCTCCTTCTTTGGATTCTGCAAGTGGATATGTGGACCTCTGTGAAGATTTCGTTGGAAACGGGTTCATCTTCACAGAAAATCTAAACAGAAGCATTCTCAGAAACTGCTTTGTGATGTTTGTGTTCCACTTCAGGAATTGAACTTTCCTCTTGACAGAGCAGCTCTGAAACCCTCTTATTCTAGAATCTGCAAGTGGACATTTGGAGGGCTTTGAGGCCTGTGGTGGAAAAGGAAAATCTTCACATAAAAACTAGATGGAAGCATTCTCAGAAACTACTTTGTGATGATTGCATTCGACTCACAGAGTTGAACATTCCTATACATAGAGCAGGTTGTAAACAATCTTTTTGTAGAATCTGCGATTGGAGATTTGGACTGCTTTGAGGCCTACTGTAGTAAAGGAAATAACTTCATCTAAAAACCAAACGGAAGCATTCACAGACAATTCTTAGTGATCATTGCATTGAACTAACAGAGCTGAACATTCCTTTAGATGGCGCAGTTTCCAAACACACTTTCTGTAGAATCTGCAAGTGGATATTTGGACTTCTCTGAGGATTTCGTTGGAAACGGGATAAACTTCCCAGAACTACACGGAAGCATTGTGAGAAACTTCTTTGTGATGTTTGCATTCAACTCACAGAGTTGAACCTTGCTTTCTTAGTTCAGCTTTCAAACACTCTTTTTGTAGAATCTGCAAGTGGATATTTGGACCACTTTGTGGCATACCTTCGAAACGGGTATATCTTCACATCAAACCTAGACAGAAGCATTCTCAGAATGTTTCCTGTGATGACTGCATTCAACTCACACAGGTGAACAATCCTGCTAATGGAGCAGTTTTGAAACTCTCTTTCTTTGGATTCTGCAAGTGGATATGTGGACCTCTGTGAAGATTTCCTTGGAAACGGGTTCATCTTCACAGAAAAACTAAACAGAAGCATTCTCAGAAACTGCTTTGTGATGTTTGTGTTCCACTTCAGGAATTGAACTTTCCTCTTGACAGAGCAGCTCTGAAACCCTCTTATTCTAGAATCTGCAAGTGGACATTTGGAGGGCTTTGAGGCCTGTGGTGGAAAAGGAAAATCTTCACATAAAAACTAGATGGAAGCATTCTCAGAAACTACTTTGGGATGATTGCATTCGACTCACAGAGTTGAACATTCCTATAGATAGAGCAGGTTGTAAACAATCTTTTTGTAGAATCTGCGATTGGAGATTTGGACTGCTTTGAGGCCTACTGTAGTAAAGGAAATAACTTCATCTAAAAACCAAACGGAAGCATTCACAGACAATTCTTAGTGATCATTGGATTGAACTAACAGAGCTGAACATTCCTTTAGATGGAGCAGTTTCCAAACACACTTTCTGTAGAATCTGCGAGTGGATATTTGGACTTCTCTGAGGATTTCGTTGGAAACGGGATAAACTTCCCAGAACTACACGGAAGCATTGGGAGAAACTTCTTTGTGATGTTTGCATTCAACTCACAGAGTTGAACCTTGCTTTCATAGTTCAGCTTTCAAACACTCTTTTTGTAGAATCTGCAAGTGGATATTTGGACCACTTTGTGGCCTTCCTTCGAAACGGGTATATCTTCACATCAAACCTAGACAGAAGCATTCTCAGAATGTTTCCTGTGATGACTGCATTCAACGCACAGAGGTGAACAATCCTGTTGATGGAGCAGTTTTGAAACTCTCTTTCTTTGGAATCTGCAAGTGGATGTGCGGACCTCTTTGAAGATTTCGTTGGAAACGTGTTAATCTTCACAGAAAAACTAAAGAGAAGCATTCTCAGAAACTACGTTGTGATGTTTGTGTTCAACTTGCAGAGTTGAAATTTCCTCTTGACAGAGCAGCTATGAAACATTGCTTTTCTTGAATCTGCAGGTGGACATTTGAAGGGCTTTGAGGCCTGTGGCGGAAACGTAAATATCTGCATATAAAAACTAGATAGAAGCATTCTCAGAAACAACTTTGTGATGATTGCATTCGACTCACAGAGTTGAACATTCCTATAGATAGAGCAGGTTGTAAACAATCTTTTTGTAGAATCTGCGATTGGAGATTTGGACTGCTTTGAGGCCTACTGTAGTAAAGGAAATAACTTCATCTAAAAACCAAACGGAAGCATTCACAGACAATTCTTAGTGATCATTGGTTTGAACTAACAGAGCTGAACATTCCTTTAGATGGAGGAGATTCCAAACACTCTTTCTGTAGAATCTGCAAGTGGATATTTGGACCTCTCTGAGGATTTCGTTGGAAACAGGATAAACTTCCCAGAACTACACGGAAGTATTCTGAGAATCTTCTTTGTGATGTTTGCATTCAACTCACAGAGTTGAACCTTGCTTTCATAGTTCAGCTTTCAAACACTCTTTTTGTAGAATCTGCAAGTGGATATTTGGACCACTTTGTGGCCTTCCTTCGAAACGGGTATATCTTCACATCAAACCTAGACAGAAGCATTCTCAGAATGTTTCCTGTGATGACTGCATTCAACTCACAGAGGTGAACAATCCTGATGATGGAGCAGTTTTGAAACTCTCTTTCTTTGGATTCTGCAGGTGGATATGTGGACCTCTGTGAAGATTTCGTTGGAAACGGGTTCATCTTCACAGAAAAACTAAACAGGAGCATTCTCAGAAACTGCTTTGTGATGTTTGTGTTCCACTTCAAGAATTGAACTTTCCTCTTGACAGAGCAGCTCTGAAACCCTCTTTTTCTAGAATCTGCAAGTGGACATTTGGCGGGCTTTGAGGCCTGTGGTGGAAAAGGAAAATCTTCCCATAAAAACTAGATGGAAGCATTCTCAGAAACTACTTCGTGATGATTGCATTCGACTCACAGAGTTGAACATTCCTATAGATAGAGCAGGTTGTAAACAATCTTTTTGTAGAATCTGCGATTGGAGATTTGGACTGCTTTGAGGCCTACTGTAGTAAAGGAAATAACTTCATCTAAAAACCAAACGGAAGCATTCACAGACAATTCTTAGTGATCATTGGATTGAACTAACAGAGCTGAACATTCCTTTAGATGGAGCAGTTTCCAAACACACTTTCTGTAGAATCTGCAAGTGGATATTTGGACCTCTCTGAGGATTTCGTTGGAAACGGGATAAACTTCCTAGAACTACACGGAAGTATTCTGACAAACTTCTTTGGGATGTTTGCATTCAACTCACAGAGTTGAACCTTGCTTTCATAGTTCAGCTTTCAAACACTCTTTTTGTAGAATCTGCAAGTGGATATTTGGACCACTTTGTGGCCTTCCTTCGAAACGGGTATATCTTCACATCAAACCTAGACAGAAGCATTCTCAGAATGTTTCCTGTGATGACTGCATTCAACTCACAGAGGTGAACAATCCTGCTGATGGAGCAGTTTTGAAACTCTCTTTCTTTGGATTCTGCAAGTGGATATGTGGACCTCTGTGAAGATTTCGTTGGAAACGGGTTCATATTCACAGAAAAACTAAACAGGAGCATTCTCAGAAACTGCTTTGTGATGTTTGTGTTCCACTTCAGGAATTGAACTTTCCTCTTGACAGAGCAGCTCTGAAACCCTCTTATTCTAGAATCTGCAAGTGGACATTTGGAGGGCTTTGAGGCCTGTGGTGGAAAAGGAAAATCTTCACATAAAAACTAGATGGAAGCATTCTCAGAAACTACTTTGTGATGATTGCATTCGACTCACAGAGTTGAACATTCCTATAGATAGAGCAGGTTGTAAACAATCTTTTTGTAGAATCTGCGATTGGAGATTTGGACTGCTTTGAGGCCTACTGTAGTAAAGGAAATAACTTCATCTAAAAACCAAACGGAACCATTCACAGACCATTCTTAGTGATCATTGGATTCAACTAACAGAGCTGAACATTCCCTTAGATGGCGCAGTTTCCAAACACACTTTCTGTAGAATCTGCAAGTGGATATTTGGACCTCTCTGAGGATTTCGTTGGAAACGGGATAAACTTCCCAGAACTACACGGAAGCATTCTGAGAAACTTCTTTGTGATGTTTACATTCAACTCACAGAGTTGAACCTTGCTTTCATAGTTCAGCTTTCAAACACTCTTTTTGTAGAATCTGCAAGTGGATATTTGGACCACTTTCTGGCCTTCCTTCGAAACGGGTATATCTTCACATCAAACCTAGACAGAAGCATTCTCAGAATGTTTCCTGTGATGACTGCATTCAACTCACAGAGGTGAACAATCCTGCTGATGGAGCAGTTTTGAATCTCTCTTTCTTTGGATTCTGCAAGTGGATATGTGGACCTCTGTGAAGATTTCGTTGGAAACGGGT
Source organism: Homo sapiens (assembly GCF_000001405.40). Taxonomy (NCBI): domain Eukaryota; kingdom Metazoa; phylum Chordata; class Mammalia; order Primates; family Hominidae; genus Homo; species Homo sapiens. Next base: position 51,127,509 of record NC_000011.10, read on the forward strand.
TCATCTTCACAGAAAAACTAAACAGAAGCATTCTCAGAAACTGCTTTGTGATGTTTGTGTTCCACTTCAGGAATTGAACTTTCCTCTTGACAGAGCAGCTCTGAAACCCTCTTTTTCTAGAATCTGCAAGTGGACATTTGGAGGGCTTTGAGGCCTGTGGTGGAAAAGGAAAATCTTCACATAAAAACTAGATGGAAGCATTCTCAGAAACTACTTTGTGATGATTGCATTCGACTCACAGAGTTGAACATTCCTATAGATAGAGCAGGTTGTAAACAATCTTTTTGTAGAATCTGCGATTGGAGATTTGGACTGCTTTGAGGCCTACTGTAGTAAAGGAAATAACTTCATCTAAAAACCAAACGGAAGCATTCACAGACGATTCTTAGTGATCATTGGATTGAACTAACAGAGCTGAACATTCCTTTAGATGGAGCAGTTTCCAAACACACTTTCTGTAGAATCTGCAAGTGGATATTTGGACTTCTCTGAGGATTTCGTTGGAAACGGGAAAACTTCCCAGAACTACACGGAAGCATTCTGAGAAACTTCTTTGTGATGTTTGCATTCAACTAACAGAGTTGAAACTTGCTTTCATAGTTCAGCTTTCAAACACTCTTTTTGTAGAATCTGCAAGTGGATATTTGGACCACTTTGTGGCCTTCCTTCGAAACGGGTATATCTTCACATCAAACCTAGACAGAAGCATTCTCAGAATGTTTCCTGTGATGACTGCATTCAACCCACAGAGGTGAACAATCCTGCTGATGGAGCAGTTTTGAAACTCTCTTTCTTTGGATTCTGCAAGTGGATATGTGGACCTCTGTGAAGATTTCGTTGGAAACGGGTTCATCTTCACAGAAAATCTAAACAGAAGCATTCTCGGAAACTGCTTTGTGATGTTTGTGTTCCACTTCAGGAATTGAACTTTCCTCTTGACAGAGCAGCTCTGAAACCCTCTTATTCTAGAATCTGCAAGTGGACATTTGGAGGGCTTTGAGGCCTGTGGTGGAAAAGGAAAATCTTCACATAAAAACTAGATGGAAGCATTCTCAGAAACTACTTTGTGATGATTGCATTCGACTCACAGAGTTGAACATTCCTATAGATAGAGCAGGTTGTAAACAATCTTTTTGTAGAATCTGCGATTGGAGATTTGGACTGTTTTGAGGCCTACTGTAGTAAAGGAAATAACATCATCTAAAAACCAAACGGAAGCATTCACAGACAATTCTTAGTGATCATTGCATTGAACTAACAGAGCTGAACATTCCTTTAGATGGAGCAGTTTCCAAACACACTTTCTGTAGAATGTGCAAGTGGATATTTGGACTTCTCTGAGGATTTCGTTGGAAACGGGATAAACTTCCCAGAACTACACGGAAGCATTCTGAGAAACTTCTTTGTGATGTTTGCATTCAACTCACAGAGTTGAACCTTGCTTTCATAGTTCAGCTTTCAAACACTCTTTTTGTAGAATCTACAGAAAGTGGATATTTGGACCACTTTGTGGCCTTCCTTCGAAACGGGTATATCTTCACATCAAACCTAGACAGAAGCATTCTCAGAATGTTTCCTGTGATGACTGCATTCAACTCACAGAGGTGAACAATCCTGCTGATGGAGCAGTTTTGAAACTCTCTTTCTTTGGATTCTGCAAGTGGATATGTGGACCTCTGTGAAGATTTGGTTGGAAACGGGTTCATCTTCCCAGAAAAACTAAAAAGAAACATTCTCAGAAACTGCTTTGTGAAGTTTGTGTTCCACTTCAGGAATTGAACTTTCCTCTTGACAGAGCAGCTCTGAAACCCTCTTATTCTAGAATCTGCAAGTGGACATTCGGAGGGCTTTGAGGCCTGTGGTGGAAAAGGAAAATCTTCACATAAAAACTAGATGGAAGCATTCTCAGAAACTACTTTGTGATGATTGCATTCGACTCACAGAGTTGAACATTCCTATAGATAGAGCAGGTTGTAAACAATCTTTTTGTAGAATCTGCGATTGGAGATTTGGACTGCTTTGAGGCCTACTGTAGTAAAGGAAATAACTTCATCTAAAAACCAAACGGAAGCATTCACAGACAATTCTTAGTGATCATTGCATTGAACTGACAGAGCTGAACATTCCTTTAGATGGAGCAGTTTCCAAACACACTTTCTGTAGAATCTGCAAGTGGATATTTGGACTTCTCTGAGGATTTCGTTGGAAAAGGGATAAACTTCCCAGAACTACACGGAAGCATGCTGAGAAACTTCTTTGTGATGTTTGCATTCCACTCACAGAGTTGAACCTTGCTTTCATAGTTCAGCTTTCAAACACTCTTTTTGTAGAATCTGCAAGTGGATATTTGGACCACTTTGTGGCCTTCCTTCGAAACGGGTATATCTTCACATCAAACCTAGACAGAAGCATTCTCAGAATGTTTCCTGTGATGACTGCATTCAACTCACAGAGGTGAACAATCCTGTTGATGGAGCACTTTTGAAACTCTCTTTCTTTGGATTCTGCAAGTTGATATGTGGACCTCTGTGAAGATTTCGTTGGAAACGGGTTCATCTTCACAGAAAAACTAAACAGAAGCATTCTCAGAAACTGCTTTGTGATGTTTGTGTTCCACTTCAGGAATTGAACTTTCCTCTTGACAGAGCAGCTCTGAAACCCTCTTATTCTAGAATCTGCAAGTGGACATTTGGAGGGCTTTGAGGCCTGTGGTGGAAAAGGAAAATCTTCACTTAAAAACTAGATGGAAGCATTCTCAGAAACTACTTTGTGATGATTGCATTCGACTCACAGAGTTGAACATTCCTATAGATAGAGCAGGTTGTAAACAATCTTTTTGTAGAATCTGCGATTGGAGATTTGGACTGCTTTGAGGCCTACTGTAGTAAAGGAAATAACTTCATCTAAAAACCAAACGGAAGCATTCACAGACAATTCTTAGTGATCATTGGATTGAACTAACAGAGCTGAACATTCCTTTAGATGGAGCAGTTTCCAAACCCACTTTCTGTAGAATCTGCAAGTGGATATTTGGACTTCTCTGAGGATTTCGTTGGAAACGGGATAAACTTCCCAGAACTACAGGGAAGCATTGTGAGAAACTTCTTTGTGATGTTTGCATTCAACTCACAGAGTTGAACCTTGCTTTCATAGTTCAGCTTTCAAACACTCTTTTTGTAGAATCTGCAAGTGGATATTTGGACCACTTTGTGGCCTTCCTTCGAAACGGGTATATCTTCACATCAAACCTAGACAGAAGCATTCTCAGAATGTTTCCTGTGATGACTGCATTCAACTCACAGAGGTAAACAATCCTGCTGATGGAGCAGTTTTGAAACTCCCTTTCCGTGGATTCTGCAAGTGGATATGTGGACCTCTGTGAAGATTTCGTTGGAAACGGGTTCATCTTCACAGAAAAACTAAACAGAAGCATTCTCAGAAACTGCTTTGTGATGTTTGTGTTCCACTTCAGGAATTGAACTTTCCTCTTGACAGAGCAGCTCTGAAACCCTCTTATTCTAGAATCTGCAAGTGGACATTTGGAGGGCTTTGAGGCCTGTGGTGGAAAAGGAAAATCTTCACATAAAAACTAGATGGAAGCATTCTCAGAAACTACTTTGTGATGATTGCATTCGACTCACAGAGTTGAACATTCCTATAGACAGAGCAGGTTGTAAACAAACTTTTTGTAGTATCTGCGATTGGAGATTTGGACTGCTTTGAGGCCTACTGTAGTAAAGGAAATAACTTCATCTAAAAACCAAACGGAAGCATTCACAGACAATTCTTAGTGAACATTGGATTGAACTAACAGAGCTGAACATTCCTTTAGATGGCGCAGTTTCCAAACACACTTTCTGTAGAATCTGCAAGTGGATATTTGGACCTCTCTGAGGATTTCGTTGGAAACGGGATAAACTTCCCAGAACTACAGGGAAGCATTGTGAGAAACTTCTTTGTGATGTTTGCATTCAACTCACAGAGTTGAACCTTGCTTTCATAGTTCAGCTTTCAAACACTCTTTTTGTAGAATCTGCAAGTGGATATTTGGACCACTTTGTGGCCTTCCTTCGAAACGGGTATATCTTCACATCAAACCTAGACAGAAGCATTCTCAGAATGTTTCCTGTGATGACTGCATTCAACTCACAGAGGTGAACAATCCTGCTGATGGAGCAGTTTTGAAACTGTCTTTCTTTGGAATCTGCAAGTGGATATGTGGACCTCTTTGAAGATTTCGTTGGAAACGGGTTCATCTTCACAGAAAAACTAAACAGAAGCATTCTCAGAAACTGCTTTGTGATGTTTGTGTTCCACTTCAAGAATTGAACTTTCCTCTTGACAGAGCAGCTCTGAAACCCTCTTTTTCTAGAATCTGCAAGTGGACATTTGGAGGGCTTTGAGGCCTGTGGTGGAAAAGGAAAATCTTCCCATAAAAACTAGATGGAAGCATTCTCAGAAACTACTTTGTGATGATTGCATTCGACTCACAGAGTTGAATATTCCTATAGATAGAGCAGGTTGTAAACAATCTTTTTGTAGAATCTGCGATTGGAGATTTGGACTGCTTTGAGGCCTACTGTAGTAAAGGAAATAACTTCATCTAAAAACCAAACGGAAGCATTCACAGACAATTCTTAGTGATCATTGCATTGAACTAACAGAGCTGAACATTCCTTTAGATGGAGCAGTTTCCAAACCCACTTTCTGTAGAATCTGCAAGTGGATATTTGGACTTCTCTGAGGATTTCGTTGGAAACGGGATAAACTTCCCAGAACTACAGGGAAGCATTCTGAGAAACTTCTTTGTGATGTTTGCATTCAACTCACAGAGTTGAACCTTGCTTTCATACTTCAGCTTTCAAACACTCTTTTTGTAGAATCTGCAAGTGGATATTTGGACCACTTTGTGGCCTTCCTTCGAAACGGGTATATCTTCACATCAAACCTAGACAGAAGCATTCCCAGAATGTTTCCTGTGATGACTGCATTCAACTCACAGAAGGTGAACAATCCTTTTGATGGAGCAGTTTTGAAACTCTCTTTCTTTGGATTCTGCAAGTGGATATGTGGACCTCTGTGAAGATTTCGTTGGAAACGGGTTCATCTTCACAGAAAAACTAAACAGGAGCATTCTCAGAAACTGCTTTGTGATGTTTGTGTTCCACTTCAAGAATTGAACTTTCCTCTTGACAGAGCAGCTCTGAAACCCTCTTTTTCTAGAATCTGCAAGTGGACATTTGGAGGGCTTTGAGGCCTGTGGTGGAAAAGGAAAATCTTCCCATAAAAACTAGATGGAAGCATTCTCAGAAACTACTTTGTGATGATTGCATTCGACTCACAGAGTTGAACATTCCTATAGATAGAGCAGGTTGTAAACAATGTTTTTGTAGAATCTGCGATTGGAGATTTGGACTGCTTTGAGGCCTACTGTAGTAAAGGAAATAACTTCATCTAAAAACCAAACGGAAGCATTCACAGACAATTATTAGTGATCATTGCATTGAACTAACAGAGCTGAACATTCCTTTAGATGGAGCAGTTTCCAAACACACTTTCTGTAGAATCTGCAAGTGGATATTTGGACTTCTCTGAGGATTTCGTTGGAAACGGGATAAACTTCCCAGAACTACACGGAAGCATTGTGAGAAACTTCTTTGTGATGTTTCCATTCAACTCACAGAGTTGAACCTTGCTTTCATAGTTCAGCTTTCAAACACTCTTTTTGTAGAATCTGCAAGTGGATATTTGGACCACTTTGTTGCCTTCCTTCGAAACGGGTATATCTTCACATCAAACCTAGACAGAAGCATTCTCAGAATGTTTCCTGTGATGACTGCATTCAACTCACAGAGGTGAACAGTCCTGCTGATGGAGCAGTTTTGAAACTCTCTTTCTTTGGATTCTGAAAGTGGATATGTGGACCTCTGTGAAGATTTCGTTGGAAACGGGTTCATTTTCACAGAAAAACTAAACAGAAGCATTCTCAGAAACTGCTTTGTTATGTTTGTGTTCCACTTCAAGAATTGAAATTTCCTCTTGACAGAGCAGCTCTGAAACCCTCTTATTCTAGAATCTGCAAGTGGACATTTGGAGGGCTTTGAGGTCTGTGGTGGAAAAGGAAAATCTTCACATAAAAACTAGATGGAAGCATTCTCAGAAACTGCTTTGTGATGATTGCATTCGACTCACAGAGTTGAACATTCCTATAGATAGAGCAGGTTGCAAACAATCTTTTTGTAGAATCTGCGATTGGAAATTTGGACTGCTTTGAGGCCTACTGTAGTAAAGGAAATAACTTCATCTAAAAACCAAACGGAAAGCATTCACAGACAATTCTTAGTGATCATTGGATTGAACTAACAGAGCTGAACCTTCCTTTAGATGGAGCAGTTTCCAAACACACTTTCTGTAGAATCTGCAAGTGGATATTTGGACTTCTCTGAGGATTTCGTTGGAAACGGGATAAACTTCCCAGAACTACAGGGAAGCATTGTGAGAAACTTCTTTGTGATGTTTGCATTCAACTCACAGAGTTGAACCTTGCTTTCATAGTTCAGCTTTCAAACACTCTTTTTGTAGAATCTGCAAGTGGATATTTGGACCACTTTGTGGCCTTCCTTCGAAACGGGTATATCTTCACATCAAACCTAGACAGAAGCATTCTCAGAATGTTTCCTGTGATGACTGCATTCAACTCACAGAGGTGAACAATCCTGCTGTTGGAGCAGTTTTGAAACTCTCTTTCTTTGGATTCTGCAAGTGGATATGTGGACCTCTGTGAAGATTTCGTTGGAAACGGGTTCATCTTCACAGAAAAACTAAACAGGAGCATTCTCAGAAACTGCTTTGTGATGTTTGTGTTCCACTTCAAGAATTGAACTTTCCTCTTGACAGAGCAGCTCTGAAACCCTCTTTTTCTAGAATCTGCAAGTGGACATTTGGAGGGCTTTGAGGCCTGTGGTGGAAAAGGAAAATCTTCCCATAAAAACTAGATGGAAGCATTCTCAGAAACTACTTTGTGATGATTGCATTCGACTCACAGAGTTGAACATTCCTATAGATAGAGCAGGTTGTAAACAATCTTTTTGTAGAATCTGCGATTGGAGATTTGGACTGCTTTGAGGCCTACTGTAGTAAAGGAAATAACTTCATCTAAAAACCAAACGGAAGCATTCACAGACAATTCTTAGTGATCATTGGATTGAACTAACAGAGCTGAACATTCCTTTAGATGGAGCAGTTTCCAAACACACTTTCTGTAGAATCTGCAAGTGGATATTTGGACCTCTCTGAGGATTTCGTTGGAAACGGGATAAACTTCCCAGAACTACACGGAAGCATTCTGAGAAACTTCTTTGTGATGTTTGCATTCAACTCACAGAGTTGAACGTTGCTTTCATAGTTCAGCTTTCAAACACTCTTTTTGTAGAATCTGCAAGTGGATATTTGGACCACTTTGTGGCCTTCCTTCGAAACGGGTATATCTTCACATCAAACCTAGACAGAAGCATTCTCAGAATGTTTCCTGTGATGACTGCATTCAACTCACAGAGGTGAACAATCCTGCTGATGGAGCAGTTTTGAAACTCTCTTTCTTTGGATTCTGCAAGTGGATATGTGGACCTCTGTGAAGATTTCGTTGGAAACGGGTTCATCTTCACAGAAAAACTAAACAGGAGCATTCTCAGAAACTGCTTTGTGATGTTTGTGTTCCACTTCAAGAATTGAACTGTCCTCTTGACCGAGCAGCTCTGAAACCCTCTTATTCTAGAATCTGCAAGTGGACATTTGGAGGGCTTTGAGGCCTGTGGTGGAAAAGGAAAATCTTCACATAAAAACTAGATGGAAGCATTCTCAGAAACTACTTTGTGATGATTGCATTCGACTCACAGAGTTGAACATTCCTATAGATAGAGCAGGTTGTAAACAATCTTTTTGTAGAATCTGCGATTGGAGATTTGGACTGCTTTGAGGCCTACTGTAGTAAAGGAAATAACTTCATCTAAAAACCAAACGGAAGCATTCACAGACAATTCTTAGTGACCTATTGGATTGAACTAACAGAGCTGAACATTCCTTTAGATGGCGCAGTTTCCAAACCCACTTTCTGTAGAATCTGCAAGTGGATATTTTGACTTCTCTGAGGATTTCGTTGGAAACGAGATAAACTTCCCAGAACTACACGGAAGTATTCTGAGAAACTTCTTTGTGATGTTTGCATTCAACTCACAGAGTTGAACCTTGCTTTCATAGTTCAGCTTTCAAACACTCTTTTTGTAGAATCTGCAATTGGATATTTGGACCACTTTGTGGCCTTCCTTCGAAACGGGTATATCTTCACATCAAACCTAGACAGAAGCATTCTCAGAATGTTTCCTGTGATGACTGCTTTCAACTCACAGAGGTGAACAATCCTGTTGATGGAGCAGTTTTGAAACTCTCTTTCTTTGGATTCTGCAAGTTGATATGTGGACCTCTGTGAAGATTTCGTTGGAAACGGGTTCATCTTCACAGAAAAACTAAACAGAAGCATTCTCAGAAACTGCTTTGTGATGTTTGTGTTCCACTTCAAGAATTGAACTTTCCTCTTGACAGAGCAGCTCTGAAACCCTCTTTTTCTAGAATCTGCAAGTGGACATTTGGAGGGCTTTGAGGCCTGTGGTGGAAAAGGAAAATCTTCCCATAAAAACTAGATGGAAGCATTCTCAGAAACTACTTTGTGATGATTGCATTCGACTCACAGAGTTGAACATTCGTATAGATAGAGCAGGTTGTAAACAATCTTTTTGTAGAATCTGCGATTGGAGATTTGGACTGCTTTGAGGCCTACTGTAGTAAAGGAAATAACTTCATCTAAAAACCAAACGGAAGCATTCACAGACAATTCTTAGTGATCATTGCATTGAACTAACAGAGCTGAACATTCCTTTAGATGGCGCAGTTTCCAAACACACTTTCTGTAGAATCTGCAAGTGGATATTTGGACCTCTCTGACGATTTCGTTGGAAAAGGGCTAAACTTCCCAGAACTACACGGAAGCATTGTGAGAACCTTCTTTGTGATGTTTGCATTCAACTCACAGAGTTGAACCTTGCTTTCGTAGTTCAGCTTTCAAACACTCCTTTTGTAGATTCTGCAAGTGGATATTTGGACCACTTTGTGGCCTTCCTTGGAAACGGGTATATCTTCACATCAAACCTAGACAGAAGCATTCTCAGAATGTTTCCTGTGATGACTGCATTCAACTCACAGAGGTGAACAATCCTGCTGTTGGAGCAGTTTTGAAACTCTCTTTCTTTGGATTCTGCAAGTGGATATGTGGACCTCTGTGAAGATTTCGTTGGAAACGGGTACATCTTCACAGAAAAACTAAACAGGAGCATTCTCAGAAACTGCTTTGTGATGTTTGTGTTCCACTTCAAGAATTGAACTTTCCTCTTGACAGAGCAGCTCTGAAACCCTCTTATTCTAGAATCTGCAAGTGGACATTTGGAGGGCTTTCAGGCCTGTGGTGGAAAAGGAAAATCTTCACATAAAAACTAGATGGAAGCATTCTCAGAAACTACTTTGTGATGATTGCATTCGACTCACAGAGTTGAACATTCCTATAGATAGAGCAGGTTGTAAACAATGTTTTTGTAGAATCTGCGATTGGAGATTTGGACTGCTTTGAGGCCTACTGTAGTAAAGGAAATAACTTCATCTAAAAACCAAACGGAAGCATTCACAGACAATTCTTAGTGATCATTGGATTGAACTAACAGAGCTGAACATTCCTTTAGATGGAGCAGTTTCCAAACACACTTTCTGTAGAATCTGCAAGTGGATATTTGGACCTCTCTGAGGATTTCGTTGGAAACGGACTAAACTTCCCAGAACTACACGGAAGCATTGTGAGAAACTTCTTTGTGATGTTTGCATTCAACTCACAGAGTTGAACCTTGCTTTCATAGTTCAGCTTTCAAACACTCTTTTTGTAGAATCTGCAAGTGGATATTTGGACCACTTTGTGGCCTTCCTTCGAAACGGGTATATCTTCACATCAAACCTAGACAGAAGCATTCTCAGGATGTTTCCTGTGATGACTGCATTCAACTCACAGAGGTGAACAATCCTTCTGATAGAGCAGTTTTGAAACTCTCTTTCTTTCGATTCTGCAAGTGGATATGTGGACCTCTGTGAAGATTTCGTTGGAAACGGGTTCATCTTCACAGAAAAACTAAACAGAAGCATTCTCAGAAACTGCTTTGTGATGTTTGTGTTCCACTTCAGGAATTGAACTTTCCTCTTGACAGAGCAGCTCTGATACCCTCTTATTCTAGAATCTGCAAGTGGACATTTGGAGGGCTTTGAGGCCTGTGGTGGAAAAGGAAAATCTTCACATAAAAACTAGACGGAAGCATTCTCAGAAACTACTTTGTGATGATTGCATTCGACTCACAGAGTTGAACATTCCTATAGATAGAGCAGGTTGTAAACAATCTTTTTGTAGAATCTGCGATTGGAGATTTGGACTGCTTTGAGGCCTACTGTAGTAAAGGAAATAACTTCATCTAAAAACCAAACGGAAGCATTCACAGACAATTCTTAGTGATCTATTGGATTGAACTAACAGAGCTGAACATTCCTTTAGATGGCGCAGTTTCCAAACCCACTTTCTGTAGAATCTGCAAGTGGATATTTGGACTTCTCTGAGGATTTCGTTGGAAACGGGATAAACTTCCTAGAACTACACGGAAGCATTCTGAGAAACTTCTTTGTAATGTTTGCATTCAACTCACAGAGTTGAACCTTGCTTTCATAGTTCAGCTTTCAAACACTCTTTTTGTAGAATCTGCAAGTGGATATTTGGACCACTTTGTGGCCTTCCTTCGAAACGGGTATATCTTCACATCAAACCTAGACAGAAGCATTCTCAGAATGTTTCCTGTGATGACTGCATTCAACTCACAGAGGTGAACAATCCTGCTGATGGAGCACTTTTGAAACTCTCTTTCTTTGGATTCTGCAAGTTGATATGTGGAACTCTGTGAAGATTTCGTTGGAAACGGGTTCATCCTCACAGAAAAACTAAACAGAAGCATTCTCAGAAACTGCTTTGTGATGTTTGTGTTCCACTTCAAGAATTGAACTTTTCTCTTGACAGAGCAGCTCTGAAACCCTCTTTTTCTAGAATCTGCAAGTGGACATTTGGAGGGCTTTGAGGCCTGTGGTGGAAAACGAAAATCTTCACATAAAAACTAGATGGAAGCATTCTCAGAAACTACTTTGTGATGATTGCATTCGACTCACAGAGTTGAACATTCCTATAGATAGTGCAGGTTGTAAACAATCTTTTTGTAGAATCTGCGATTGGAGATTTGGACTGCTTTGAGGCCTACTGTAGTAAAGGAAAGAACTTCATCTAAAAACCAAACGGAAGCATTCACAGACAATTCTTAGTGATCATTGGATTGAACTAACAGAGCTGAACATTCCTTTAGATGGAGCAGTTTCCAAACACACTTTCTGTAGAATCTGCAAGTGGATATTTGGACCTCTCTGAGGATTTCGTTGGAAACGGGATAAACTTCCCAGAACTACACGGAAGTATTCTGAGAAACTTCTTTGTGATGTTTTCATTCAACTCACAGAGTTGAACCTTGCTTTCATAGTTCAGCTTTCAAACACTCTTTTTGTAGAATCTGCAAGTGGATATTTGGACCACTTTGTGGCCTTCCTTCGAAACGGGTATATCTTCACATCAAACCTAGACAGAAGCATTCTCAGAATGTTTCCTGTGATGACTGCATTCAACTCACAGAGGTGAACAATCCTGTTGATGGAGCAGTTTTGAATCTCTCTTTCTTTGGATTCTGCAAGTGGATATGTGGACCTCTGTGAAGATTTCGTTGGAAACGGGTTCATCTTCACAGAAAAACTAAACAGGAGCATTCTCAGAAACTGCTTTGTGATGTTTGTGTTCCACTTCAGGAATTGAACTTTCCTCTTGACAGAGCAGCTCTGAAACCCTCTTATTCTAGAATCTGCAAGTGGACATTTGGAGGGCTTTGAGGCCTGTGGTGGAAAAGGAAAATCTTCACATAAAAACTAGATGGAAGCATTCTCAGAAACTACTTTGTGATGATTGCATTCGACTCACAGAGTTGAACATTCCTATAGATAGAGCAGGTTGTAAACAATGTTTTTGTAGAATCTGCGATTGGAGATTTGGACTGCTTTGAGGCCTACTGTAGTAAAGGAAATAACTTCATCTAAAAACCAAACGGAAGCATTCACAGACAATTCTTAGTGATCATTGGATTGAACTAACAGAGCTGAACATTCCTTTAGATGGAGCAGTTTCCAAACCCACTTTCTGTAGAATCTGCAAGTGGATATTTGGACTTCTCTGAGGATTTCGTTGGAAACGGGATAAACTTCCCAGAACTACACGGAAGTATTCTGAGAAACTTCTTTGTGATGTTTGCATTCAACTCACAGAGTTGAAACTTGCTTTCATAGTTCAGCTTTCAAACACTCTTTTTGTAGAATCTGCAAGTGGATATTTGGACCACTTTGTGGCCTTCCTTCGAAACGGGTATATCTTCACATCAAACCTAGACCGAAGCATTCTCAGAATGTTTCCTGTGATGACTGCATTCAACTCACAGAGGTGAACAATCCTGCTGATGGAGCAGTTTTGAAACTCTCTTTCTTTGGATTCTGCAAGTGGATATGTGGACCTCTGTGAAGATTTCGTTGGAAACGGGTTCATCTTCACAGAAAAACTAAACAGAAGCATTCTCAGAAACTGCTTTGTGATGTTTGTGTTCCACTTCAGGAATTGAACTTTCCTCTTGACAGAGCAGCTCTGAAACCCTCTTATTCTAGAATCTGCAAGTGGACATTTGGAGGGCTTTGAGGCCTGTGGTGGAAAAGGAAAATCTTCACATAAAAACTAGATGGAAGCATTCTCAGAAACTACTTTGTGATGATTGCATTCGACTCACAGAGTTGAACATTCCTATAGATAGAGCAGGTTGTAAACAATCTTTTTGTAGAATCTGCGATTGGAGATTTGGACTGCTTTGAGGCCTACTGTAGTAAAGGAAATAACTTCATCTGAAAACCAAACGGAAGCATTCACAGACAATTCTTAGTGATCATTGGATTGAACTAACAGAGCTGAACATTCCTTGAGATGGAGCAGTTTCCAAACACACTTTCTGTAGAATCTGCAAGTGGATATTTGGACTTCTCTTAGGATTTCGTTGGAAACGGGATAAACTTCCTAGAACTACATGGAAGCATTGTGAGAAACATCTTTGTGATGTTTACATTCAACTCACAGAGTTGAACCTTGCTTTCATAGTTCAGCTTTCAAACACTCTTTTTGTAGAATCTGCAAGTGGATATTTGGACCACTTTGAGGCCTTCCTTCGAAACGGGTATATCTTCACATCAAACCTAGACAGAAGCATTCTCAGAATGTTTCCTGTGATGACTGCATTCAACTCACAGAGGTGAACAATCCTGCTGATGGAGCAGTTTTGAAACTCTCCTTCTTTGGATTCTACAAGTGGATATGTGGACCTCTGTGAAGATTTCGTTGGAAACGGGTTCATCTTCACAGAAAAACTAAACAGAAGCATTCTCAGAAACTGCTTTGTGATGTTTGTGTTCCACTTCAGGAATTGAACTTTCCTCTTGACAGAGCAGCTCTGAAACCCTCTTATTCTAGAATCTGCAAGTGGACATTTGGAGGGCTTTGAGGCCTGTGGTGGAAAAGGAAAATCTTCACATAAAAACTAGATGGAAGCATTCTCAGAAACTACTTTGTGATGATTGCATTCGACTCACAGAGTTGAACATTCCTATAGATAGAGCAGGTTGTAAACAATGTTTTTGTAGAATCTGCGATTGGAGATTTGGACTGCTTTGAGGCCTACTGTAGTAAAGGAAATAACTTCATCTAAAAACCAAACGGAAGCATTCACAGACAATTCTTAGTGATCATTGGATTGAACTAACAGAGCTGAACATTCCTTTAGATGGCGCAGTTTCCAAACACACTTTCTGTAGAATCTGCAAGTGGATATTTGGACCTCTCTGAGGATTTCGTTGGAAACGGGATAAACTTCCCAGAAATACACGGAAGCATTGTGAGAAACTTCTTTGTGATGTTTGCATTCAACTCACAGAGTTGAACCTTGCTTTCATAGTTCAGCTTTCAAACACTCTTTTTGTAGAATCTGCAAGTGGATATTTGGACCACTTTGTGGCCTTCCTTCGAAACGGGTATATCTTCACATCAAACCTAGACAGAAGCATTCTCAGAATGTTTCCTGTGATGACTGCATTCAACTCACAGAGGTGAACAATCCTGCTGATGGAGCAGTTTTGAAACTCTCTTTGTTTGGATTCTGCAAGTGGATATGTGGACCTCTGTGAAGATTTCGTTGGAAACGGGTTCATCTTCACAGAAAAACTAAACAGAAGCATTCTCAGAAACTGCTTTGTGATGTTTGTGTTCCACTTCAGGAACTGAACTTTCCTCTTGACAGAGCAGCTCTGAAACCCTCTTATTCTAGAATCTGCAAGTGGACATTTGGAGGGCTTTGAGGCCTGTGGTGGAAAAGGAAAATCTTCACATAAAAACTAGATGGAAGCATTCTCAGAAACTACTTTGTGATGATTGCATTCGACTCACAGAGTTGAACATTCCTATAGATAGAGCAGGTTGTAAACAATCTTTTTGTAGAATCTGCGATTGGAGATTTGGACTGCTTTGAGGCCTACTGTAGTAAAGGAAATAACTTCATCTAAAAACCAAACGGAAGCATTCACAGACAATTCTTAGTGATCACTGGATTGAACTAACAGAGCTGAACATTCCTTTAGATGGAGCAGTTTCCAAACCCACTTTCTGTAGAATCTGCAAGTGGATATTTGGACTTCTCTGAGGATTTCGTTGGAAACGGGATATGCTTCCCAGAACTACAGGGAAGCATTCTCAGAAACTTCTTTGTGATGTTTGCATTCAAATCACAGAGTTGAACCGTGCTTTCATAATTCAGCTTTCAAACACTGTTTTTGTAGAATCTGGAAGTTGATATTTGGACCACTTTTTTGCCTTCTTTCGAAACTGGTATATCTTCACATCAAACCCAGACAGAAGGATTCTCAGAATGTTTCCTGTGATGACTGGATTCAACGCACAGAGGTGAACAATCCTGTTGATGGAGCAGTTTTGAAAGTCTCTTTCTTTGGAATATGCAAGTGGATGTGCGGACCTCTTTGAAAATTTCGTTGGAAACGTGTTCATCTTCACAGAAAAACTAAAGAGAAGCATTCTCAGAAACTGCTTTGTGATGTTTGTGTTCCACTTCAGGAATTGAACTTTCCTCTTGACAGAGCAGCTCTGTAACCCTCTTTTTCTAGAATCTGCAAGTGGACATTTGGAGGGCTTTGAGGCCTGTGGTGGAAAAGGAAAATCTTCACATACAAACTAGATGGAAGCATTCTCAGAAACTACTTTGTGATGATTGCATTCGACTCACAGAGTTGAACATTCCTATAGATAGAGCAGGTTGTAAACAATCTTTTTGTAGAATCTGCGATTGGAGATTTGGACTGCTTTGAGGCCTACTGTAGTAAAGGAAATAACTTCATCTAAAAACCAAACGGAAGCATTCACAGACAATTCTTAGTTATCATTGGATTGAACTAACAGAGCTGAACATTCCTTTAGATGGCGCAGTTTCCAAACACACTTTCTGTAGAATCTGCAAGTGGATATTTGGACCTCTCTGAGGATTTCGTTGGAAAAGGGAAAAACTTCCCAGAACTACACGGAAGCATTCTGAGAAACTTCTTTGTGATGTTTGCATTCAACTCACAGAGTTGAACCTTGCTTTCATAGTTCAGCTTTCAAACACTCTTTTTGTAGGATCTGCAAGTGGATATTTGGACCACTTTGTGGCCTTCCTTCGAAACGGGTATATCTTCACATCAAACCTAGACAGAAGCATTCTCAGAATGTTTCCTGTGATGACTGCATTCAACTCACAGAGGTGAACAATCCTGCTGATGGAGCAGTTTTGAAACTCTCTTTCTTTGGATTCTGCAAGTGGATATGTGGACCTCTGTGAAGATTTCGTTGGAAACGGGTTCATCTTCACAGAAAAACTAAACAGAAACATTCTCAGAAACTGCTTTGTGATGTTTGTGTTCCACTTCAGGAATTGAACTTTCCTCTTGACAGAGCAGCTCTGAAACCCTCTTTTTGTAGAATCTGCAAGTGGACATTTGGAGGGCTTTGAGGCCTGTGGTGGAAAAGGAAAATCTTCACATAAAAACTAGATGGAAGCATTCTCAGAAACTACTTTGTGATGATTGCATTCGACTCACAGAGTTGAACATTCCTATAGATAGAGCAGGTTGTAAACAATCTTTTTGTAGAATCTGCGATTGGAGATTTGGACTGCTTTGAGGCCTACTGTAGTAAAGGAAATAACTTCATCTAAAAACCAAATGGAAGCATTCACATACAATTCTTAGTGATCATTGCATTGAACTAACAGAGCTGAACATTCCTTTAGATGGCGCAGTTTCCAAACACACTTTCTGTAGAATCTGCAAGTGGATATTTGGACCTCTCTGAGGATTTCGTTGGAAACGGGATAAACTTCCCAGAACTACACGGAAGCATTCTGAGAAACTTCTTTGTGATGTTTGCATTCAACTCACAGAGTTGAACCTTGCTTTCATAGTTCAGCTTTCAAACACTCTTTTTGTAGAATCTGCAAGTGGATATTTGGACCACTTTCTGGCCTTCCTTCGAAACGGGTATATCTTCACATCAAACCTAGACAGAAGCATTCTCAGAATGTTTCCTGTGATGACCGCATTCAACTCACAGAGGTGAACAATCCTGTCTGATGGAGCAGTTTTGAAACTCTCTTTCTTTGGATTCTGCAAGTGGATATGCGGACCTCTGTGAAGATTTCGTTGGAAACGGGTTCATCTTCACAGAAAAACTAAACAGAAGCATTCTCAGAAACTGCTTTGTGATGTTTGTGTTCCACTTCAAGAATTGAAATTTCCTCTTGACAGAGCAGCTCTGAAACCCTCTTTTTCTAGAATCTGCAAGTGGACATTTGGAAGGCTTTGAGGCCTGTGGTGGAAAAGGAAAATCTTCACATAAAAACTAGATGGAAGCATTCTCAGAAACTACTTTGTGATGATTGCATTCGACTCACAGAGTTGAACATTCCTATAGATAGAGCAGGTTGTAAACAATCTTTTTGTAGAATCTGCGATTGGAGATTTGGACTGCTTTGAGGCCTACTGTAGTAAAGGAAATAACTTCATCTAAAAACCAAACGGAAGCATTCACAGACAATTCTTAGTGATCATTGGATTGAACTAACAGAGCTGAACATTCCTTTAGATGGAGCAGTTTCCAAACACACTTTCTGTAGGATCTGCAAGTGGATATTTGGACCTCTCTGAGGATTTCGTTGGAAACGGGATAAACTTCCCAGAACTACACGGAAGCATTGTGAGAAACTTCTTTGTGATGTTTGCATTCAACTCACAGAGTTGAACCTTGCTTTCATAGTTCAGCTTTCAAACACTCTTTTTGTAGAATCTGCAAGTGGATATTTGGACCACTTTGGGGCCTTCCTTCGAAACGGGTATATCTTCACATCAAACCTAGACAGAAGCATTCTCAGAATGTTTCCTGTGATGACTGCATTCAACTCACAGAGGTGAACAATCCTGCTGATGGAGCAGTTTTGAAACTCTCTTTCTTTGGATTCTGCAAGTGGATATGTGGACCTCTGTGAAGATTTCGTTGGAAACGGGTTCATCTTCACAGAAAAACTAAACAGAAGCATTCTCGGAAACTGCTTTGTGATGTTTGTGTTCCACTTCAAGAATTGAACTTTTCTCTTGACAGAGCAGCTCTGAAACCCTCTTTTTCTAGAATCTGCAAGTGGACATTTGGAGGGCTTTGAGGCCTGTGGTGGAAAAGGAAACTCTTCACATAAAAACTAAATGGAAGCATTCTCAGAAACTACTTTGTGATGATTGCATTCGACTCACAGAGTTGAACATTCCTATAGATAGAGCAGGTTGTAAACAATCTTTTTGTAGAATCTGCGATTGGAGATTTGGACTGCTTTGAGGCCTACTGTAGTAAAGGAAATAACTTCATCTAAAAACCAAACGGAAGCATTCACAGACAATTCTTAGTGATCATTGCATTGAACTAACAGAGCTGAACATTCCTTTAGATGGCGCAGTTTCCAAACACACTTTCTGTAGAATCTGCAAGTGGATATTTGGACTTCTCTGAGGATTTCGTTGGAAACGGGATAAACTTCCCAGAACTACACGGAAGCATTCTGAGAAACTTCTTTGTGATGTTTGCATTCAACTCACAGAGTTGAACCTTGCTTTCATAGTTCAGCTTTCAAACACTCTTTTTGTAGAATCTGCAAGTGGATATTTGCACCACTTTGTGGCCTTCCTTCGAAAGGGGTATATCTTCACATCAAGCCTAGACAGAAGCATTCTCAGAATGTTTCCTGTGATGACTGCATTGAACTCACAGAGGTGAACAATCCTGCTGATGGAGCACTTTTGAAACTCTCTTTCTTTGGATTCTGCAAGTGGATATGTGGACCTCTGTGAAGATTTCGTTGGAAACGGGTTCATCTTCACAGAAAAAATAACAGGAGCATTCTCAGAAACTGCTTTGTGATGTTTGTGTTCCACTTCGGGAATTGAACTTTCCTCTTGACAGACCAGCTCTGAAACCCTCTTATTCTAGAATCTGCAAGTGGACATTTGGAGGGCTTTGAGGCCTGTGGTGGAAAAGGAAAATCTTCACATAAAAACTAGATGGAAGCATTCTCAGAAACTACTTTGGGATGATTGCATTCGACTCACAGAGTTGAACATTCGTATAGATAGAGCAGGTTGTAAACAAGCTTTTTGTAGAATCTGCGATTGGAGATTTGGACTGCTTTGAGGCCTACTGTAGTAAAGGAAATAACTTCATCTAAAAACCAAACGGAAGCATTCACAGACAATTATTAGTGATCATTGCATTGAACTAACAGAGCTGAACATTCCTTTAGATGGAGCAGTTTCCAAACACACTTTCTGTAGAATCTGCAAGTGGATATTTGGACTTCTCTGAGGATTTCGTTGGAAACGGGATAAACTTCCCAGAACTACAGGGAAGCATTGTGAGAAACTTCTTTGTGATGTTTGCATTCAACTAACAGAGTTGCACCTTGCTTTCATAGTTCAGCTTTCAAACACTCTTTTTGTAGAATCTGCAAGTGGATATTTGGACCACTTTGTGGCCTTCCTTCGAAACGGGTATATCTTCACATCAAACCTAGACAGAAGCATCTCTCAGAATGTTTCCTGTGATGACTGCATTCAACTCACAGAGGTGAACAATCCTGCTGATGGAGCAGTTTTGAAACTCTCTTTCTTTGGATTCTGCAAGTGGATATGTGGACCTCTGTGTAGATTTCGTTGGAAACGGGTTCATCTTCACAGAAAAACTAAACAGGAGCATTCTCAGAAACTGCTTTGTGATGTTTGTGTTCCACTTCAAGAATTGAACTTTCCTCTTGACAGAGCAGCTCTGAAACCGTCTTTTTCTAGAATCTGCAAGTGGACATTTGGAGGGCTTTGAGGCCTGTGGTGGAAAAGGAAAATCTTCACATAAAAACTAGATGGAAGCATTCTCAGAAACTACTTTGTGATGATTGCATTCGACTCACAGTGTACAACATTCCTATAGGGAGAGCAGGTTGTAAACAATCTTTTTGTAGAATCTGCGATTAGAGATTTGGACTGCTTTGAGGCCTACTGTAGTAAAGGAAATAACTTCATCTAAAAACCAAACGGAAGCATTCACAGACAATTCTTAGTGATCATTGGATTGAACTAACAGAGCTGAACATTCCTTTAGATGGAGCAGTTTCCAAACCCACTTTCTGTAGAATCTGCAAGTGGATATTTGGACTTCTCTGAGGATTTCGTTGGAAACGGGATAAACTTCCCAGAACTACACGGAAGCATTGTGAGAAACTTCTTTGTGATGTTTGCATTCAACTCACAGAGTTGAACCTTGCTTTCATAGTTCAGCTTTCAAACACTCTTTTTGTAGAATCTGCAAGTGGATATTTGGACCACTTTGTGGCCTTCCTTCGAAACGGGTATATCTTCACATCAAACCTAGACAGAAGCATTCTCAGAATGTTTCCTGTGATGACTGCATTAAACTCACAGAGGTGAACAATCCTGCGATGGAGCAGTTTTGAAACTCTCTTTCTTTGGATTCTGAAAGTGGATATGTGGACCTCTGTGAAGATTTCGTTGGAAACGGGTTCATCTTCACAGAAAAACTAAACAGAAGCATTCTCAGAAACTGCTTAGTGATGTTTGTGTTCCACTTCAGAAATTGAACTTTCCTCTTGATAGAGCAGCTCTGAAACCCTCTTTTTCTAGAATCTGCAAGTGGACATTTGGAGGGCTTTGAGGCCGGTGGTGGAAAAGGAAAATCTTCACATAAAAACTAGATGGAAGCATTCTCAGAAACTACTTTGTGATGATTGCATTCGACTCACAGAGTTGAACATTCCTATAGATACAGCAGGTTGAAAACAATCTTTTTGTAGAATCTGCGATTGGAGATTTGGACTGCTTTGAGGCCTACTGTAGTAAAGGAAATAACTTCATCTAAAAACCAAACGGAAGCATTCACAGACAATTCTTAGTGATCATTGGATTGAACTAACAGAGCTGAACATTCCTTTAGATGGCGCAGTTTCCAAACACACTTTCTGTAGAATCTGCCAGTGGATATTTGGACCTCTCTGAGGATTTCGTTGGAAACGGGATAAACTTCCCAGAACTACACGGAAGCATTCTGGGAAACTTCTTTGTGATGTTTGCATTCAACTCACAGAGTTGAACCTTGCTTTCATAGTTCAGCTTTCAAACACTCTTTTTGTAGAATCTGCAAGTGTATATTTGGACCACTTTGTGGCCTTCCTTCGAAACGGGTATATCTTCACATCAAACCTAGACAGAAGCATTCTCAGAATGTTTCCTGTGATGACTGCATTCAACTCACAGAGGTGAACAATCCTGTTGATGGAGCAGTTTTGAAACTCTCTTTCTTTGGATTCTGCAAGTGGATATGTGGACCTCTGTGAAGATTTCGTTGGAAACGGGTTCATCTTCACAGAAAAACTAAACAGAAGCATTCTCAGAAACTGCTTTGTGATGTTTGTGTTCCACTTCAGGAATTGAACTTTCCTCTTGACAGAGCAGCTCTGAAACCCTCTTTTTCTAGAATCTGCAAGTGGACATTTGGAGGGCTTTGAGGCCTGTGGTGGAAAAGGAAAATCTTCACATAAAAACTAGATGGAAGCATTCTCAGAAACTACTTTGTGATGATTGCATTCGACTCACAGAGTTGAACATTCCTATAGATAGAGCAGGTTGTAAACAATCTTTTTGTAGAATCTGCGATTGGAGATTTGGACTGCTTTGAGGCCTACTGTAGTAAAGGAAATCACTTCATCTAAAAACCAAACGGAAGCATTCACAGACAATTCTTAGTGATCATTGCATTGAGCTAACAGAGCTGAACATTCCTTTAGATGGCGCAGTTTCCAAACACACTTTCTGTACAATCTGCAAGTGGATATTTGGACCTCTCTGAGGATTTCGTTGGAAACGGGATAAACTTCCCAGAACTACACGGAAGCATTGTGAGAAACTTCTTTGTGATGTTTGCATTCAACTCACAGAGTTGAACCTTGCTTTCATAGTTCAGCTTTCAAACACTCTTTTTGTAGAATCTGCAAGTGGATATTTGGACCACTTTGTGGCCTTCCTTCGAAAGGGGTATATCTTCACATCAAACCTAGACAGAAGCATTCTCAGAATGTTTCCTGTGATGACTGCATTCAACTCACAGAGGTGAACAATCCTGTTGATGGAGCAGTTTTGAAACTCTCTTTCTTTGGATTCTGCAAGTGGATATGTGGACCTCTGTGAAGATTTCGTTGGAAACGGGTTCATCTTCACAGAAAAACTAAACAGAAAGCATTCTCAGAAACTGCTTTGTGATGTTTGTGTTACACTTCAAGAATTGAACTTTCCTCTTGACAGAGCAGCTCTGACACCCTCTTTTTCTAGAATCTGCAAGTGGACATTTGGAGGGCTTTGAGGCCTGTGGTGGAAAAGGAAAATCTTCACATAAAAACTAGATGGAAGCATTCTCAGAAACTACTTTGTGATGATTGCATTCGACTCACAGAGTTGAACATTCCTATAGATAGAGCAGGTTGTAAACAATCTTTTTGTAGAATCTGCGATTGGAGATTTGGACTGCTTTGAGGCCTACTGTAGTAAAGGAAATAACTTCATCTAAAAACCAAACGGAAGCATTCACAGACAATTCTTAGTGATCATTGCATTGAACTAACAGAGCTGAACATTCCTTTAGATGGCGCAGTTTCCAAACACACTTTCTGTAGAATCTGCAAGTGGATATTTGGACTTCTCTGAGGATTTCGTTGGAAACGGGATAAACTTCCCAGAACTACACGGAAGCATTGTGAGAAACTTGTTTGTGATGTTTGCATTCAACTCACAGAGTTGAACCGTGCTTTCATAGTTCAGCTTTCAAACACTCTTTTTGTAGAATCTGCAAGTGGATATTTGGACCACTTTGTGGCCTTCCTTCGAAACGGGTATATCTTCACATCAAACCTAGACAGAAGCATTCTCAGAATGTTTCCTGTGATGACTGCATTCAACTCACAGAGGTGAACAATCCTGCTGATGGAGCAGTTTTGAAACTCTCTTTCTTTGGATTCTGCAAGTGGATATGTGGACCTCTGTGAAGATTTCGTTGGAAACGGGTTCATCTTCACAGAAAAACTAAACAGGAGCATTCTCAGAAACTGCTTTGTGATGTTTGTGTTCCACTTCAAGAATTGAACTTTCCTCTTGACAGAGCAGCTCTGAAACCCTCTTTTTCTAGAATCTGCAAGTGGACATTTGGAGGGCTTTGAGGCCTGTGGTGGAAAAGGTAAATCTTCACATAAAAACTAGATGGAAGCATTCTCAGAAACTACTTTGTGATGATTGCATTCGACTCACAGAGTTGAACATTCCTATAGATAGAGCAGGTTGTAAACAATCTTTTTGTAGAATCTGCGATTGGAGATTTGGACTGCTTTGAGGCCTACTGTAGTAAAGGAAATAACTTCATCTAAAAACCAAACGGAAGCATTCACAGACAATTCTTAGTGATCATTGGATTGAACTAAGAGAGCTGAACATTCCTTTAGATGGAGCAGTTTCCAAACACACTTTCTGTAGAATCTGCAAGTGGATATTTGGACCTCTCTGAGGATTTCGTTGGAAACGGGATAAACTTCCCAGAACTACACGGAAGCATTCTGAGAAAATTCTTTGTGATGTTTGCATTCAACTCACAGAGTTGAACCTTGCTTTTATAGTTCAGCTTTCAAACACTCTTTTTGTAGGATCTGCAAGTGGATATTTGGACCACTTTGTGGCCTTCCTTCGAAACGGGTATATCTAAACATCAAACCTAGACAGAAGCATTCTCAGAATGTTTCCTGTGATGACTGCATTCAACTCACAGAGGTGAACAATCCTGCTGATGGAGCAGTTTTGAAACTCTCTTTCTTTGGATTCTGCAAGTGGATATGTGGACCTCTGTGAAGATTTCGTTGGAAACGGGTTCATCTTCACAGAAAAACTAAACAGGAGCATTCTCAGAAACTGCTTTGTGATGTTTGTGTTCCACTTCAAGAATTGAACTTTCCTCTTGACAGAGCAGCTCTGAAACCCTCTTTTTCTAGAATCTGCAAGTGGACATTTGGAGGGCTTTGAGGCCTGTGGTGGAAAAGGAAAATCTTCCCATAAAAACTAGATGGAAGCATTCTCAGAAACTCACTTTGTCGATGATTGCATTCGACTCACAGAGTTGAACATTCCTATAGATAGAGCAGGTTGTAAACAATCTTTTTGTAGAATCTGCGATTGGAGATTTGGACTACTTTGAGGCCTACTGTAGTAGAGGAAATAACTTCATCTAAAAACCAAACGGAAGCATTCACAGACAATTCTTAGTGATCATTGCATTAAACTAACAGAGCTGAACATTCCTTTAGATGGAGCAGTTTCCAAACCCACTTTCTGTAGAATCTGCAAGTGGATATTTGGACTTCTGTGAGGATTTCGTTGGAAACGGGATAAACTTCCCAGAACTACACGGAAGCATTCTGAGAAACTTCTTTGTGATGTTTGCATTCAACTCACAGAGTTGAACCTTGCTTTCGTAGTTCAGCTTTCAAACACTCTTTTTGTAGAATCTGCAAGTGGATATTTGGACCACTTTGTGGCCTTCCTTCGAAACGGGTATATCTTCACATGAAACCTAGACAGAAGCATTCTCAGAATGTTTCCTGTGATGACTGCATTCAACTCACAGAGGTGAACAATCCTGCTGATGGAGCAGTTTTGAAACTCTCTTTCTTTGGATTCTGCAAGTGGATATGTGGACCTCTGTGAAGATTTCGTTGGAAACGGGTTCATCTTCACAGAAAAACTAAACAGAAGCATTCTCAGAAACTGCTTTGTGATGTTTGTGTTCCACTTCAAGAATTGAACTTTCCTCTTGACAGAGCAGCTCTGAAACCCTCTTTTTCTAGAATCTGCAAGTGGACATTTGGAGGGCTTTGAGGCCTGTGGTGGAAAAGAAAAATCTTCACATAAAAACTAGATGGAAGCATTCTCAGAAACTACTCTGTGATGATTGCATTCGTCTCACAGAGTTGAACATTCCTATAGATAGAGCAGGTTGTAAACAATCTTTTTGTAGAATCTGCGATTGGAGATTTGGACTGCTTTGAGGCCTACTGTAGTAAAGGAAATAACTTCATCTAAAAACCAAACGGAAGCATTCACAGACAATTCTTAGTGATCATTGGATTGAACTAACAGAGCTGAACGTTCCTTTAGATGGAGCAGTTTCCAAACACACTTTCTGTAGAATCTGCAAGTGGATATTTGGACCTCTCTGAGGATTTCGTTGGAAACGGGATAAATTTCCCAGAACTACACGGAAGCATTGTGAGAAACTTCTTTGTGATGTTTGCATTCAACTCACAGAGTTGAACCTTGCTTTCATAGTTCAGCTTTCAAACACTCTTTTTGTAGAATCTGCAAGTGGATATTTGGACCACTTTGTGGCCTTCCTTTGAAAAGGGTATATCTTCACATCAAACCTAGACAGAAGCATTCTCAGAATGTTTCCTGTGATGACTGCATTCAACTCACAGAGGTGAACAATCCTGCTGATGGAGCAGTTTTGAAACTCTCTTTCTTTGGATTCTGCAAGTGGATATGTGGACCTCTGTGAAGATTTCGTTGGAAACGGGTTCATCTTCACAGAAAAACTAAACAGAAGCATTCTCAGAAACTGCTTTGTGATGTTTGTGTTCCACTTCAGGAATTCAACTTTCCTCTTGAAAGAGCAGCTCTGAAACCCTCTTATTCTAGAATCTGCAAGTGGACATTTGGAGGGCTTTGAGGCCTGTGGTGGAAAAGGAAAATCTTCACATAAAAACTAGATGGAAGCATTCTCAGAAACTACTTTGTGATGATTGCATTCGACTCACAGAGTTGAACATTCCTATAGATAGAGCAGGTTGTAAACAATCTTTTTGTAGAATCTGCGATTGGAGATTTGGACTGCTTTGAGGCCTACTGTAGTAAAGGAAATAACTTCATCTAAAAACCAAACGGAAGCATTCACAGACAATTCTTAGTGATCATTGCATTGAACTAACAGAGCTGAACATTCCTTTAGATGGAGCAGTTTCCAAACCCACTTTCTGTAGAATCTGCAAGTGGATATTTGGACTTCTCTGAGGATTTCGTTGGAAAAGGGATAAACTTCCCAGAACTACACGGAAGCATTGTGAGAAACTTCTCTGTGATGTTAGCATTCAACTCACAGAGTTGAACCTTGCTTTCATAGTTCAGCTTTCAAACACTCTTTTTGTGGAATCTGCAAGTGGATATTTGGACCACTTTGTGGCCTTCCTTCGAAACGGGTATATCTTCACATCAAACCTAGACAGAAGCATTCTCAGAATATTTCCTGTGATGACTGCATTCAACTCACAGAGGTGAACAATCCTGCTGATGGAGCAGTTTTGAAACTCACTTTCTTTGGATTCTGCAAGTGGATATGTGGACCTCTGTGAAGATTTCGTTGGAAACGGGTTCATCTTCACAGAAAAACTAAACAGGAACATTCTCAGAAACTACTTTGTGATGTTTGTGTTCCACTTCAAGAATTGAACTTTCCTCTTGACAGAGCAGCTCTGAAACCCTCTTTTTCTAGAATCTGCAAGTGGACATTTGGAGGGCTTTGAGGCCTGTGGTGGAAAAGGAAAATCTTCACATAAAAGCTAGATGGAAGCATTCTCAGAAACTACTTTGTGATGATTGCATTCGACTCACAGAGTTGAACATTCCTATAGATAGAGCAGGTTGTAAACAATGTTTTTGTAGAATCTGCGATTGGAGATTTGGACTGCTTTGAGGCCTACTGTAGTAAAGGAAATAACTTCATCTAAAAACCAAACGGAAGCATTCACAGCCAATTCTTAGAGATCATTGGATTGAACTAACAGAGCTGAACATTCCTTTAGATGGAGCAGTTTCCAAACACACTTTCTGTAGAATCTGCAAGTGGATATTTGGACCTCTCTGAGGATTTCGTTGGAAATGGGATAAACTTCCCAGAACTACACGGAAGCATTGTGAGAAACTTCTTTGTGATGTTTGCATTCAACTCACAGAGTTGAACCTTGCTTTCATAGTTCAGCTTTCAAACACTCTTTTTGTAGAATCTGCAAGTGGATATTTGGACCACTTTGTGGCCTTCCTTCGAAACGGGTATATCTTCACATCAAACCTAGACAGAAGCATTCTCAGAATGTTTCCTGTGATGACTGCATTCAACTCACAGAGGTGAACAATCCTGCTGATGGAGCAGTTTTGAAACTCTCTTTCTTTGGATTCTGCAAGTGGATATGTGGACCTCTGTGAAGATTTCGTTGGAAACGGGTTCATCTTCACAGAAAAACTAAACAGAAGCATTCTCAGAAATTGCTTTGTGATGTTTGTGTTCCACTTCAGGAATTGAACTTTCCTCTTGACAGAGCAGCTCTGAAACCCTCTTATTCTAGAATCTGCAAGTGGACATTTGGAGGGCTTTGAGGCCTGTGGTGGAAAAGGAAAATCTTCACATAAAAACTAGATGGAAGCATTCTCAGAAACTACTTTGTGATGATTGCATTCGACTCACAGAGTTGAACATTCCTATAGATAGAGCAGGTTGTAAACAATCTTTTTGTAGAATCTGCGATTGGAGATTTGGACTGCTTTGAGGCCTACTGTAGTAAAGGAAATAACTTCATCTAAAAACCAAACGGAAGCATTCACAGACAATTCTTAGTGATCATTGGATTGAACTAACAGAGCTGAACATTCCTTTAGATGGAGCAGTTTCCAAACACACTTTCTGTAGAATCTGCAAGTGGATATTTGGACTTCTCTGAGGATTTCGTTGGAAGCAGGATAAACTTCCCAGAACTACACGGAAGCATTGTGAGAAACTTCTTTGTGATGTTTGCATTCAACTCACAGAGTTGAACCTTGCTTTCATAGTTCAGCTTTCAAACACTCTTTTTGTAGAATCTGCAAGTGGATATTTGGACCACTTTGTGGCCTTCCTTCGAAACGGGTATATCTTCACATCAAACCTAGACAGAAGCATTCTCAGAATGTTTCCTGTGATGACTGCATTCAACTCACAGAGGTGAACAATCCTGTTGATGGAGCAGTTTTGAAACTCTCTTTCTTTGGATTCTGCAAGTGGATATGTGGACCTCTGTGAAGATTTCGTTGGAAACGGGTTCATCTTCACAGAAAAACTAAACAGAAGCATTCTCAGAAACTGCTTTGTGATGTTTGTGTTCCACTTCAGGAATTGAACTTTCCTCTTGACAGAGCAGCTCTGAAATCCTCTTATTCTAGAATCTGCAAGTGGACATTTGGAGGGCTTTGAGGCCTGTGGTGGAAAAGGAAAATCTTCACATAAAAACTAGATGGAAGCATTCTCAGAAACTACTTTGTGATGATTGCATTCGACTCACAGAGTTCAACATTCCTATAGATAGAGCAGGTTGTAAACAATCTTTTTGTAGAATCTGCGATTGGAGATTTGGACTGCTTTGAGGCCTACTGTAGTAAAGGAAATAACTTCATCTAAAAACCAAACGGAAGCATTCACAGACAATTCTTAGTGATCATTGGATTGAACTAAGAGAGCTGAACATTCCTGTAGATGGAGCAGTTTCCAAACACACTTTCTGTAGAATCTGCAAGTGGATATTTGGTCCTCTCTGAGGATTTCGTTGGAAACGGGATAAACTTCCCAGTACTACACGGAAGCATTCTGAGAAACTTCTTTGTGATGTTTGCATTCAACTCACAGAGTTGAACCTTGCTTTCATAGTTCAGCTTTCAAACACTCTTTTTGTAGAATCTGCAAGTGGATATTTGGACCACTTTGTGGCCTTCCTTCGAAACGGGTATATCTTCACATCAAACCTAGACAGAAGCATTCTCAGAATGTTTCCTGTGATGACTGCATTCAACTCACAGAGGTGAACAATCCTGTTGATGGAGCAGTTTTGAAACTCTCTTTCTTTGGATTCTGCAAGTGGATATGTGGACCTCTGTGAAGATTTCGTTGGAAACGGGTTCATCTTCACAGAAAAACTAAACAGAAGCATTCTCAGAAACTGCTTTGTGATGTTTGTGTTCCACTTCAAGAATTGAACTTTCCTCTTGACAGAGCAGCTCTGAAACCCTCTTTTTCTAGAATCTGCAAGTGGACATTTGGAGGGCTTTGAGGCCTGTGGTGGAAAAGGAAAATCTTCCCATAAAAACTAGATGGAAGCATTCTCAGAAACTACTTTGTGATGATTGCATTCGACTCACAGAGTTGAACATTCCTATAGATAGAGCAGGTTGTAAACAATCTTTTTGTAGAATCTGCGATTGGAGATTTGGACTGCTTTGAGGCCTACTGTAGTAAAGGAAATAACTTCATCTAAAAACCAAACGGAAGCATTCACAGAAAATTCTTAGTGATCATTGCATTGAACTAACAGAGCTGAACATTCCTTTAGATGGAGCAGTTTCCAAACCCACTTTCTGTAGAATCTGCAAGTGGATATTTGGACTTCTCTGAGGATTTCGTTGGAAACGGGATATGCTTCCCAGAACTACAGGGAAGCATTCTGAGAAACTTCTTTGTGATGTTTGCATTCAACTCACAGAGTTGAACCTTGCTTTCATAGTTCAGCTTTCAAACACTCTTTTTGTAGAATCTGCAAGTGGATATTTGGACCACTTTGTGGCCTTCCTTCGAAACGGGTATATCTTCACATCAAACCTAGACAGAAGCATTCTCAGAATGTTTCCTGTGATGACTGCATTCAACTCACAGAGGTGAACAATCCTGTTGATGGAGCAGTTTTGAAACTCTCTTTCTTTGGATTCTGCAAGTGGATATGTGGACCTCTGTGAAGATTTCGTTGGAAACGGGTTCATCTTCACAGAAAAACTAAACAGGAGCATTCTCAGAAACTGCTTTGTGATGTTTGTGTTCCACTTCAGGAATTGAACTTTCCTCTTGACAGAGCAGCTCTGAAACCCTCTTTTTCTAGAATCTGCAAGTGGACATTTGGAGGGCTTTGAGGCCTGTGGTGGAAAAGGAAAATCTTCACATAAAAACTAGATGGAAGCATTCTCAGAAACTACTTTGTGATGATTGCATTCGACTCACAGAGTTGAACATTCCTATAGATAGAGCAGGTTGTAAACAATCTTTTTGTAGAATCTGCGATTGGAGATTTGGACTGCTTTGAGGCCTACTGTTGTAAAGGAAATAACTTCATCTAAAAACCAAACGGAAGCATTCACAGACAATTCTTAGTGATCATTGGATTGAACTAACAGAGCTGAACATTCCCTTAGATGGCACAGTTTCCAAACACACTTTCTGTAGAATCTGCAAGTGGATATTTGGACCTCTCTGAGGATTTCGTTGGAAAAGGGCTAAACTTCCTAGAACTACACGGAAGCATTGTGAGAAACTTCTTTGTGATGTTTGCATTCAACTCACAGAGTTGAACCTTGCTTTCATAGTTCAGCTTTCAAACACTCTTTTTGTAGAATCTGCAAGTGGATATTTGGACCACTTTGTGGCCTTCCTTCGAAACGGGTATATCTTCACATCAAACCTAGACAGAAGCATTCTCAGAATGTTTCCTGTGATGACTGCATTCAACTCACAGAGGTGAACAATCCTGTTGATGGAGCAGTTTTGAAACTCTCTTTCTTTGAATTCTGCAAGTGGATATGTGGACCTCTGTGAAGATTTCGTTGGAAACGGGTTCATCTTCACAGAAAAACTAAACAGGAGCATTCTCAGAAACTGCTTTGTGATGTTTGTGTTCCACTTCAGGAATTGAACTTTCCTCTTGACAGAGCAGCTCTGAAACCCTCTTTTTCTAGAATCTGCAAGTGGACATTTGGAGGGCTTTGAGGCCTGTGGTGGAAAAGGAAAATCTTCACATAAAAACTAGATGGAAGCATTCTCAGAAACTACTTTGTGATGATTGCATTCGACTCACAGAGTTGAACATTCCTATAGATAGAGCAGGTTGTAAACAATCTTTTTGTAGAATCTGCGATTGGAGATTTGGACTGCTTTGAGGCCTACTGTAGTAAAGGAAATAACTTCATCTAAAAACCAAACGGAAGCATTCACAGACAATTCTTAGTGATCATTGGATTCAACTAACAGAGCTGAACATTCCTTTAGATGGAGCAGTTTCCAAACCCACTTTCTGTAGAATCTGCAAGTGGATATTTGGACCTCTCTGAGGATTTCGTTGGAAACGGGATAAACTTCCCAGAACTACACGGAAGCATTCTGAGAAACTTCTTTGTGATGTTTGCATTCAACTCACAGAGTTGAAATTTGCTTTCATAGTTCAGCTTTCAATCACTCTTTTTGTAGAATCTGCAAGTGGATATTTGGACCACTTTGTGGCCTTCCTTCCAAACGGGTATATCTTCACATCAAACCTAGACAGAAGCATTCTCAGAATGTTTCCTGTGATGACTGCATTCAACTCACAGAGGTGAACAATCCTGCTGATGGAGCAGTTTTGAAACTCTCTTTCTTTGGATTCTGCAAGTGGATATGTGGACCTCTGTGAAGATTTCGTTGGAAACGGGTTCATCTTCACAGAAAAACTAAACAGGAGCATTCTCAGAAACTGCTTTGTGATGTTTGTGTTCCACTTCAGGAATTGAACTTTCCTCTTGACAGAGCAGCTCTGAAACCCTCTTTTTCTAGAATCTGCAAGTGGACATTTGGAGGGCTTTTAGGCCTGTGGTGGAAAAGGAAAATCTTCACATAAAAATTAGATGGAAGCATTCTCAGAAACTACTTTGTGATGATTGCATTCGACTCACAGAGTTGAACATTCCTATAGATAGAGCAGGTTGTAAACAATCTTTTTGTAGAATCTGCGATTCGAGATTTGGAATGCTTTGAGGCCTACTGCAGTAAAGGAAATAACTTCATCTAAAAACCAAACGGAAGCATTCACAGACAATTCTTAGTGATCATTGGATTGAACTAACAGAGCTGAACATTCCTTTAGATGGCGCAGTTTCCAAACACACTTTCTGTAGAATCTGCCACTGGATATTTGGACCTCTCTGAGGTTTTCGTTGGAAACGGGCTAAACTTCCCAGAACTACACGGAAGCATGCTGAGAAACTTCTTTGTGATGTTTGCATTCAACTCACAGAGTTGAACCTTGCTTTCATAGTTCAGCTTTCAAACACTCTTTTTGTAGAATCTGCAAGTGGATATTTGGACCACTTTGTGGCCTTCCTTCGAAACGGGTATATCTTCACATCAAACCTAGACAGAAGCATTCTCAGAATGTTTCCTGTGATGACTGCATTCAACTCACAGAGGTGAACAATCCTGTTGATGAAGCACTTTTGAAACTCTCTTTCTTTGGATTCTGCAAGTTGATATGTGGACCTCTGTGAAGATTTCGTTGGAAACGGGTTCATCTTCACAGAAAAACTAAACAGAAGCATTCTCAGAAACTGCTTTGTGATGTTTGTGTTCCACTTCAGGAATTGAACTTTCCTCTTGACAGAGCAGCTCTGAAACCCTCTTATTCTAGAATCTGCAAGTGGACATTTGGAGGGCTTTGAGGCCTGTGGTGGAAAAGGAAAATCTTCACATAAAAACTAGATGGAAGCATTCTCAGAAACTACTTTGTGATGATTGCATTCGACTCACAGAGTTGAACATTCCTATAGATAGAGCAGGTTGTAAACAATCTTTTTGTAGAATCTGCGATTGGAGATTTGGACTGCTTTGAGGCCTACTGTAGTAAAGGAAATAACTTCATCTAAAAACCAAACGGAAGCATTCACAGACAATTCTTAGTGATCATTGGATTGAACAAACAGAGCTGAACATTCCTTTAGATGGCGCAGTTTCCAAACACACTTTCTGCAGAATCTGCAAGTGGATATTTGGACTACTCTGAGGATTTCGTTGGAAACGGGATAAACTTCCCAGAACTACACGGAAGCATTGTGAGAAACTTCTTTGTGATGTTTGCATTCAACTCACAGAGTTGAACCTTGCTTTCATAGTTCAGCTTTCAAACACTCTTTTTGTAGAATCTGCAAGTGGATATTTGGACCACTTTGTGGCCTTCCTTCGAAACGGGTATATCTTCACATCAAACCTAGACAGAAGCATTCTCAGAATGTTTCCTGTGATGACTGCATTCAACTCACAGAGGTGAATAATCCTTCTGATGGAGCAGTTTTGAAACTCTCTTTCTTTGGATTCTGCAAGTGGATATGTGGACCTCTGTGAAGATTTCGTTGGAAACGGCTTCATCTTCACAGAAAAACTAAACAGGAGCATTCTCAGAAACTGCTTTGTGATGTTTGTGTTCCACTTCAAGAATTGAACTTTCCTCTTGACAGAGCAGCTCTGAAACCCTCTTTTTCTAGAATCTGCAAGTGGACATTTGGAGGGCTTTGAGGCCTGTGGTGGAAAAGGAAAAACTTCACATAAAAATTAGATGGAAGCATTCTCAGAAACTACTTTGTGATGATTGCATTCGACTCACAGAGTTGAACATTCCTATAGATAGAGCAGGTTGTAAACAATCTTTTTGTAGAATCTGCGATTGGAGATTTGGACTGCTTTGAGGCCTACTGTAGTAAAGGAAATAACTTCATCTAAAAACCAAACGGAAGCATTCACAGACAATTCTTAGTGATCATTGGATTGAACTAACAGAGCTGAACATTCCTTTAGATGGCGCAGTTTCCAAACACACTTTCTGTAGAATCTGCAAGTGGATATTTGGACCTCTCTGAGGATTTCGTTGGAAACGGGATAAACTTCCCAGAACTACACGGAAGCATTGTGAGAAACTTCTTTGTGATGTTTGCATTCAACTCACAGAGTTGAACCTTGCTTTCATAGTTCAGCTTTCAAACACTCTTTTTGTAGAATCTGCAAGTGGATATTTGGACCACTTTGTGGCCTTCCTTCGAAACGGGTATATCTTCACATCAAACCTAGACAGAAGCATTCTCAGAATGTTTCCTGTGATGACTGCATTCAACTCACAGAGGTGAACAATCCTGCTGTTGGAGCAGTTTTGAAACTCTCTTTCTTTGGATTCTGCAAGTGGATATGTGGACCTCTGTGAAGATTTCATTGGAAACGGGTTCATCTTCACAGAAAAACTAAACAGGAGCATTCTCAGAAACTGCTTTGTGATGTTTGTGTTCCACCTCAAGAATTGAACTTTCCTCTTGACAGAGCAGCTCTGAAACCCTCTTTTTCTAGAATCTGCAAGTGGACATTTGGAGGGCTTTGAGGCCTGTGGTGCAAAAGGAAAATCTTCACATAAGAACTAGATGGAAGCATTCTCAGAAACTACTTTGTGATGATTGCATTCGACTCACAGAGTTGAACATTCCTATAGATAGAGCAGGTTGTAAACAATCTTTTTGTAGAATCTGCGATTGGAGATTTGGACTGCTTTGAGGCCTACTGTAGTAAAGGAAATAACTTCATCTAAAAACCAAAATGGAAGCATTCACAGACAATTCTTAGTGATCATTGGATTGAACTAACAGAGCTGAACATTCCTTTAGATGGGGCAGTTTAAAAACCCACTTTCTGTGGAATCTGCAAGTGGATATTTGGACCTCTCTGAGGATTTCGTTGGAAACGGGATAAATTTCCCAGAACTACACGGAAGCATTGTGAGAAACTTCTTTGTGATGTTTGCATTCAACTCACAGAGTTGAACCTTGCTTTCATAGTTCAGCTTTCAAACACTCTTTTTGTAGAATCTGCAAGTGGATATTTGGACCACTTTGTGGCCTTCCTTCGAAACGGGTATATCTTCACATCAAACCTAGACAGAAGCATTCTCAGAATGTTTCCTGCGATGACTGCATTCAACTCACAGAGGTGAACAATCCTGCTGATGGAGCAGTTTTGAAACTCTCTTTCTTTGGATTCTGCAAGTGGATATGTGGACCTCTGTGAAGATTTCGTTGGAAACGGGTTCATCTTCACAGAAAAACTAAACAGAAGCATTCTCAGAAACTGCTTTGTGATGTTTGTGTTCCATTTCAAGAATTGAAATTTCCTCTTGACAGAGCAGCTCTGAAACCCTCTTTTTCTAGAATCTGCAAGTGGATATTTGGAGGGCTTGGAGGCCTTCAGTGGAAAAGGAAATATCTTCACATAAAACCTAGATAGAAGCATTCTCAGAAACTACTCTGTGATGATTGCATTCGACTCACAGAGTTGAACATTCCTATATATAGAGCAGGTTGTAAACAATCTTTTTGTAGAATCTGCGATTGGAGATTTGGACTGCTTTGAGGCCTACTGTAGTAAAGGAAATAACTTCATCTAAAAACCAAACGGAAGCATTCACAGACAATTCTTAGTGATCATTGCATTGAACTAACAGAGCTGAACATTCCTTTAGATGGCGCAGTTTCCAAACACACTTTCTGTAGAATCTGCAAGTGGATATTTGGACTTCTCTGAGGATTTCGTTGGAAACGGGATAAACTTCCCAGAACTACACGGAAGCATGCTGAGAAACTTCTTTGTGATGTTTGCATTCAACTCACAGAGTTGAACCTTGCTTTCATAGTTCAGCTTTCAAACACTCTTTTTGTAGAATCTGCAAGTGGATATTTGGACCACTTTGTGGCCTTCCTTCGAAACGGGTATATCTTCACATCAAACCTAGACAGAAGCATTCTCAGAATGTTTCCTGTGATGACTGCATTCAACTCACAGAGGTGAACAATCCTGCTGATGGAGCAGTGTTGAAACTCTCTTTCTTTGGATTCTGCAAGTGGATATGTGGACCTCTGTGAAGATTTCGTTGGAAACGGGTTCATCTTCACAGAAAAACTAAACAGGAGCATTCTCAGAAACTGCTTTGTGATGTTTGTGTTCCACTTCAGGAATTGAACTTTCCTCTTGACAGAGCAGCTCTGAAACCCTCTTATACTAGAATCTGCAAGGGGACATTTGAAGGGCTTTGAGGCCTGTGGTGGAAAAGGAAAATCTTCACATACAAACTAGATGGAAGCATTCTCAGAAACTACTTTGTGATGATTGCATTCGACTCACAGAGTTGAACATTCCTATAGATAGAGCAGGTTGTAAACAATCTTTTTGTAGAATCTGCGATTGGAGATTTGGACTGCTTTGAGGCCTACTGTAGTAAAGGAAATAACTTCATCTAAAAACCAAACGGAAGCATTCACAGACAATTCTTAGTGATCATTGCATTGAACTAACAGAGCTGAACATTCCTTTAGATGGCGCAGTTTCCAAACACACTTTCTGTAGAATCTGCAAGTGGATATTTGGACCTCTCTGAGGATTTCGTTGGAAACGGGTTAAACTTCCCAGAACTACACGGAAGCATTGTGAGAAACTTCTTTGTGATGTTTGCATTCAACTCACAGAGTTGAACCTTGCTTTCATAGTTCAGCTTTCAAACACTCTTTTTGTAGAATCTGCAAGTGGATATTTGGACCACTTTGTGGCCTTCCTTTGAAAAGGGTATATCTTCACATCAAACCTAGACAGAAGCATTCTCAGAATGTTTCCTGTGATGACTGCATTCAACTCACAGAGGTGAACAATCCTGCTGATGGAGCAGTTTTGAAACTCTCTTTCTTTGGATTCTGCAAGTGGATATGTGGACCTCTGTGAAGATTTCGTTGGAAACGGGTTCATCTTCACAGAAAAACTAAACAGAAGCATTCTCAGAAACTGCTTTGTGATGTTTGTGTTCCACTTCAGGAATTGAACTTTCCTCTTGAAAGAGCAGCTCTGAAACCCTCTTTTTCTAGAATCTGCAAGTGGACATTTGGAGGGCTTTGAGGCCTGTGGTGGAAAAGGAAAATCTTCACATAAAAACTAGATGGAAGCATTCTCAGAAACTACTTTGTGATGATTGCATTCGACTCACAGAGTTGAACATTCCTATAGATAGAGCAGGTTGTAAACAATCTTTTTGTAGAATCTGCGATTGGAGATTTGGACTGCTTTGAGGCCTACTGTAGTAAAGGAAATAACTTCATCTAAAAACCAAACGGAAGCATTCACAGACAATTCTTAGTGATCATTGGATTGAACTAACAGAGCTGAACATTCCTTTAGATGGAGCATTTTCCAAACACACTTTCTGTAGAATCTGCAAGTGGATATTTGGACTTCTCTGAGGATTTCGTTGGAAACGGGATAAACTTCCCAGAACTACACGGAAGCATTGTGAGAAACTTCTTTGTGATGTTTGCATTCAACTCACAGAGTTGAACCTTGCTTTCATAGTTCAGCTTTCAAACACTCTTTTTGTAGAATCTGCAAGTGGATATTTGGACCACTTTGTGGCCTTCCTTCGAAACGGGTATATCTTCACATCAAACCTAGACAGAAGCATTCTCAGAATGTTTCCTGTGATGACTGCATTCAACTCACAGAGGTGAACAATCCTGCTGATGGAGCAGTTTTGAAACTCTCTTTCTTTGGATTCTGCAAGTGGATATGTGGACCTCTGTGAAGATTTCGTTGGAAACGGGTTCATCTTCACAGAAAAACTAAACAGAAGCATTCTCAGAAACTGCTTTGTGATGTTTGTGTTCCACTTCAGGAATTGAACTTTCCTCTTGACAGAGCAGCTCTGAAACCCTCTTATTCTAGAATCTGCAAGTGGACATTGGGAGGGCTTTGAGGCCTGTGGTGGAAAAGGAAAATCTTCACATAAAAACCAGATGGAAGCATTCTCAGAAACTACTTTGTGATGATTGCATTCGACTCACAGAGTTGAACATTCCTATAGATAGAGCAGGTTGTAAACAATCTTTTTGTAGAATCTGCGATTGGAGATTTGGACTGCTTTGAGGCCTACTGTAGTAAAGGAAATAACTTCATCTAAAAACCAAACGGAAGCATTCACAGACAATTCTTAGTGATCATTGAATTGAACTAACAGAGCTGAACATTCCTTTAGATGGAGCATTTTCCAAACACACTTTCTGTAGGATCTGCAAGTGGATATTTGGACTTCTCTGAGGATTTCGTTGGAAACGGGATAAACTTCCCAGAACTACACGGAAGCATTGTGAGAAACTTCTTTGTGATGTTTGCATTCAACTCACAGAGTTGAACCTTGCTTTCATAGTTCAGCTTTCAAACACTCTTTTTGTAGAATCTGCAAGTGGATATTTGGACCACTTTGTGGCCTTCCTTCGAAACGGGTATATCTTCACATCAAACCTAGACAGAAGCATTCTCAGAATGTTTCCTGTGATGACTGCATTCAACTCACAGAGGTGAACAATCCTGCTGTTGGAGCAGTTTTGAAACTCTCTTTCTTTGGATTCTGCAAGTGGATATGTGGACCTCTGTGAAGATTTCATTGGAAACGGGTTCATCTTCACAGAAAAACTAAACAGGAGCATTCTCAGAAACTGCTTTGTGATGTTTGTGTTCCACTTCAAGAATTGAACTTTCCTCTTGACAGAGCAGCTCTGAAACCCTCTTTTTCTGTAATCTGCAAGTGGACATTGGGAGGGCTTTGAGGCCTGTGGTGGAAAAGGAAAATCTTCACATAAAAACTAGATGGAAGCATTCTCAGAAACTACTTTGTGATGATTGCATTCGACTCACAGAGTTGAACATTCCTATAGATAGAGCAGGTTGTAAACAATCTTTTTGTAGAATCTGCGATTGGAGATTTGGACTGCTTTGAGGCCTACTGTAGTAAAGGAAATAACTTCATCTAAAAACCAAACGGAAGCATTCACAGACAATTCTTAGTGATCATTGGATTGAACTAACAGAGCTGAACATTCCTTTAGATGGAGCAGTTTCCAAACACACTTTCTGTAGAATCTGCAAGTGGATATTTGGACCTCTCTGAGGATTTCTTTGGAAACGGGATAAACTTCCCAGAACTACACGGAAGAATTGTGAGAAACTTCTTTGTGATGTTTGCATTCAACTCACAGAGTTGAACCTTGCTTTCATAGTTCAGCTTTCAAACACTCTTTTTGTAGAATCTGCAAGTGGATATTTGGACCACTTTGTGGCCTTCCTTCGAAACGGGTATATCTTCACATCAAACCTAGACAGAAGCATTCTCAGTAATGTTTCCTGTGATGACTGCATTCAACTCACAGAGGTGAACAATCCTGCTGATGGAGCAGTTTTGAAACTCTCTTTCTTTGGATTCTGCAGGTGGATATGTGGACCTCTGTGAAGATTTCGTTGGAAACGGGTTCATCTTCACAGAAAAACTAAACAGGAGCATTCTCAGAAACTGCTTTGTGATGTTTGTGTTCCACTTCAGGAATTGAACTTTCCTCTTGACAGAGCAGCTCTGAAACCCTCTTTTTCTAGAATCTGCAAGTGGACATTTGGAGGGCTTTGAGGCCTGTGGTGGAAAAGGAAAATCTTCACATAAAAACTAGATGGAAGCATTCTCAGAAACTACTTTGTGATGATTGCATTCGACTCACAGAGTTGAACATTCCTATACATAGAGCAGGTTGTAAACAATCTTTTTGTAGAATCTGCGATTGGAGATTTGGACTGCTTTGAGGCCTACTGTAGTAAAGGAAATAACTTCATCTAAAAACCAAACGGAAGCATTCACAGACAATTCTTAGTGATCATTGCATTGAACTAACAGAGCTGAACATTCCTTTAGATGGCGCAGTTTCCAAACACACTTTCTGTAGAATCTGCAAGTGGATATTTGGACTTCTCTGAGGATTTCGTTGGAAACGGGATAAACTTCCCAGAACTACACGGAAGCATTCTGAGAAACTTCTTTGTGATGTTTGCATTCAACTCACAGAGTTGAACCTTGCTTTCATAGTTCAGCTTTCAAACACTCTTTTTGTAGAATCTGCAAGTGGATATTTGGACCACTTTGTGGCCTTCCTTCGAAACGGGTATATCTTCACATCAAACCTAGACAGAAGCATTCTCAGAATGTTTCCTGTGATGACTGCATTCAACTCACAGAGGTGAACAATCCTGCTGATGGAGCAGTTTTGAAACTCTCTTTCTTTGGATTCTGCAAGTGGATATGTGGACCTCTGTGAAGATTTCGTTGGAAACGGGTTCATCTTCACAGAAAAACTAAACAGAAGCATTCTCAGAAACTGCTTTGTGATGTTTGTGTTCCACTTCAGGAATTGAACTTTCCTCTTCACAGAGCAGCTCTGAAACCCTCTTATTCTAGAATCTGCAAGTGGACATTTGGAGGGCTTTGAGGCCTGTGGTGGAAAAGGAAAATCTTCACATAAAAACTAGATGGAAGCATTCTCAGAAACTACTTTGTGATGATTGCATTCGACTC
The DNA here is from genome assembly GCF_000001405.40 of Homo sapiens. NCBI lineage: Eukaryota > Metazoa > Chordata > Mammalia > Primates > Hominidae > Homo > Homo sapiens. The sequence continues at coordinate 51,167,708 of NC_000011.10, forward strand.
ACAGAGTTGAACATTCCTATAGATAGAGCAGGTTGTAAACAATCTTTTTGTAGAATCTGCGATTGGAGATTTGGACTGCTTTGAGGCCTACTGTAGTAAAGGAAATAACTTCATCTAAAAACCAAACGGAAGCATTCACAGACAATTCTTGGTGATCATTGGATTGAACTAACAGAGCTGAACATTCCTTTAGATGGCGCAGTTTCCAAACACACTTTCTGTAGAATCTGCAAGTGGATATTTGGACCTCTCTGAGGATTTTGTTGGAAACGGGATAAACTTCCCAGAACTACACGGAAGCATTGTGAGAAACTTCTTTGTGATGTTTGCATTCAACTCACAGAGTTGAACCTTGCTTTCATAGTTCAGCTTTCAAACACTCTTTTTGTAGAATCTGCAAGTGGATATTTGGACCACTTTGTGGCCTTCCTTCGAAACGGGTATATCTTCACATCAAACCTAGACAGAAGCATTCTCAGAATGTTTCCTGTGATGACTGCATTCAACTCACAGAGGTGAACAATCCTGCTGATGGAGCAGTTTTGAAACTCTCTTTCTTTGGATTCTGCAAGTGGATATGTGGACCTCTGTGAAGATTTCGTTGGAAACGGGTTCATCTTCACAGAAAAACTAAACAGAAGCATTCTCAGAAACTGCTTTGTGATGTTTGTGTTCCACTTCAGGAATTGAACTTTCCTCTTGACAGAGCAGCTCTGAAACCCTCTTATTCTAGAATCTGCAAGTGGACATTTGGAGGGCTTTGAGGCCTGTGGTGGAAAAGGAAAATCTTCACATAAAAACTAGATGGAAGCATTCTCAGAAACTACTTTGTGATGATTGCATTCGACTCACAGAGTTGAACATTCCTATAGATAGAGCAGGTTGTAAACAATCTTTTTGTAGAATCTGCGATTGGAGATTTGTTCTGCTTTGAGGCCTACTGTAGTAAAAGAAATAACTTCATCTAAAAACCAAACGGAAGCATTCACAGTACAATTCTTAGTGATCATTGGATTGAACTAACAGAGGTGAACATTCCTTTAGATGGAGCATTTTCCAAACACACTTTCTGTAGAATCTGCAAGTGGATATTTGGACTTCTCTGAGGATTTCGTTGGAAACGGGATAAACTTCCCAGAACTACACGGAAGCATTGTGAGAAACTTCTTTGTGATGTTTGCATTCAACTCACAGAGTTGAACCTTGCTTTCATAGTTCAGCTTTCAAACACTCTTTTTGTAGAATCTGCAAGTGGATATTTGGACCACTTTGTGGCCTTCCTTCGAAACGGGTATATCTTCACATCAAACCTAGACAGAAGCATTCTCAGAATGTTTCCTGTGATGACTGCATTCAACTCACAGAGGTGAACAATCCTGCTGATGGAGCAGTTTTGAAACTCTCTTTCTTTGGATTCTGCAAGTGGATATGTGGACCTCTGTGAAGATTTCGTTGGAAACGGGTTCATCTTCACAGAAAAACTAAACAGAAGCATTCTCAGAAACTGCTTTGTGATGTTTGTGTTCCACTTCAGGAATTGAACTTTCCTCTTGACAGAGCAGCTCTGAAACCCTCTTTTTCTAGAATCTGCAAGTGGACATTTGGAGGGCTATGAGTCCTGTGGTGGAAAAGGAAAATCTTCACATAAAAACTATATGGAAGCATTCTCAGAAACTACTTTGTGATGATGGCTTTCGACTCACAGAGTTGAACATTCCTATAGATAGAGCAGGTTGTAAACAATCTTTTTGTAGAATCTGCGATTGGAGATTTGGACTGCTTTGAGGCCTACTGTAGTAAAGGAAATAACTTCATCTAAAAACCAAACGGAAGCATTCACAGACAATTCTTAGTGATCATTGGATTGAACTAACAGAGCTGAACATTCCTTTAGATGGAGCAGTTTCCAAACCCACTTTCTGTAGAATCTGCAAGTGGATATTTGGACTTCTCTGAGGATTTCGTTGGAAACGGGATAAACTTCCCAGAACTACACGGAAGCATTGTGAGAAACTTCTTTGTGATGTTTGCATTCAACTCACAGAGTTGAACCTTGCTTTCATAGTTCAGCTTTCAAACACTCTTTTTGTAGAATCTGCAAGTGGATATTTGGACCACTTTGTGGCCTTCCTTCGAAACGGGTATATCTTCACATCAAACCTAGACAGAAGCATTCTCAGAATGTTTCCTGTGATGACTGCATTCAACTCACAGAGGTGAACAATCCTGTTGATGGAGCAGTTTTGAAACTCTCTTTCTTTGGATTCTGCAAGTTGATATGTGGACCTCTGTGAAGATTTCGTTGGAAACGGGTTCATCTTCACAGAAAAACTAAACAGAAGCATTCTCAGAAACTACTTTGTGATGTTTGTGTTCCACTTCAAGAATTGAACTTTCCTCTTGACAGAGCAGCTCTGAAACCCTCTTTTTCTAGAATCTGCAAGTGGACATTTGGAGGGCTTTGAGGCCTGTGGTGGAAAAGGAAAATCTTCACATAAAAACTAGATGGAAGCATTCTCAGAAACTACTTTGTGATGATTGCATTCGACTCACAGAGTTGAACATTCCTATAGATAGAGCAGGTTGTAAACAATCTTTTTGTAGAATCTGCGATTGGAGATTTGGACTGCTTTGAGGCCTACTGTAGTAAAGGAAATAACTTCATCTAAAAACCAAACGGAAGCATTCACAGACAATTCTTAGTGATCATTGGATTGAACTAACAGAGCTGAACATTCCTTTAGATGGAGCAGTTTCCAAACCCACTTTCTGTAGAATCTGCAAGTGGATATTTGGACTTCTCTGAGGATTTCGTTGGAAACGGGATAAACTTCCCAGAACTACACGGAAGCATTGTGAGAAACTTCTTTGTGATGTTTGCATTCAACTCACAGAGTTGAACCTTGCTTTCATAGTTCAGCTTTCAAACACTCTTTTTGTAGAATCTGCAAGTGGATATTTGGACCACTTTGTGGCCTTCCTTCGAAACGGGTATATCTTCACATCAAACCTAGACAGAAGCATTCTCAGAATGTTTCCTGTGATGACTGCATTCAACTCACAGAGGTGAACAATCCTGCTGATGGAGCAGTTTTGAAACTCTCTTTCTTTGGATTCTGCAAGTGGATATGTGGACCTCTGTGAAGATTTCGTTGGAAACGGGTTCATCTTCACAGAAAAACTAAACAGAAGCATTCTCAGAAACTGCTTTGTGATGTTTGTGTTCCACTTCAGGAATTGAACTTTCCTCTTGACAGAGCAGCTCTAAAACCCTCTTATTCTAGAATCTGCAAGTGGACATTTGGAGGGCTTTGAGGCCTGTGGTGGAAAAGGAAAATCTTCACATAAAAACTAGATGGAAGCATTCTCAGAAACTACTTTGTGATGATTGCATTCGACTCACAGAGTTGAACATTCCTATAGATAGAGCAGGTTGTAAACAATGTTTTTGTAGAATCTGCGATTGGAGATTTGGACTGCTTTGAGGCCTACTGTAGTAAAGGAAATAACTTCATCTAAAAACCAAACGGAAGCATTCACAGACAATTCTTAGTGATCATTGCATTGAACTAACAGAGCTGGACATTCCTTTAGATGGCGCAGTTTCCAAACACACTTTCTGTAGAATCTGCAAGTGGATATTTGGACCTCTCTGAGGATTTCCTTGGAAACGGGATAAACTTCCCAGAACTACACGGAAGCATGCTGAGAAACTTCTTTGTGATGTTTGCATTCAACTCACAGAGTTGAAACTTGCTTTCATAGTTCAGCTTTCAAACACTCTTTTTGTAGAATCTGCAAGTGGATATTTGGACCACTTTGTGGCCTTCCTTCGAAACGGGTATATCTTCACATCAAACCTAGACAGAAGCATTCTCAGAATGTTTCCTGTGATGACTGCATTCAACTCACAGAGGTGAACAATCCTGTTGATGGAGCACTTTTGAAACTCTCTTTCTTTGGATTCTGCAAGTTGATATGTGGACCTCTGTGAAGATTTCGTTGGAAACGGGTTCATCTCACAGAAAAACTAAACAGAAGCATTCTCAGAAACTGCTTTGTGATGTTTGTGTTCCACTTCAGGAATTGAACTTTCCTCTTGACAGAGCAGCTCTAAAACCCTCTTATTCTAGAATCTGCAAGTGGACATTTGGAGGGCTTTGAGGCCTGTGGTGGAAAAGGAAAATCTTCACATAAAAACTAGATGGAAGCATTCTCAGAAACTACTTTGTGATGATTGCATTCGACTCACAGAGTTGAACATTCCTATAGATAGAGCAGGTTGTAAACAATCTTTTTGTAGAATCTGCGATTGGAGATTTGGACTGCTTTGAGGCCTACTGTAGTAAAGGAAATAACTTCATCTAAAAACCAAACGGAAGCATTCACAGACAATTCTTAGTGATCATTGGATTGAACTAACAGAGCTGAACATTCCTTTAGATGGAGCAGTTTCCAAACACACTTTCTGTAGAATCTGCAAGTGGATATTTGGACTTATCTGAGGATTTCGTTGGAAAAGGGATAAACTTCCCAGAACTACACGGAAGCATTCTGAGAAACTTCTTTGTGATGTTTGCATTCAACTCACAGAGTTGAACCTTGCTTTCATAGTTCAGCTTTCAAACACTCTTTTTGTAGAATCTGCAAGTGGATATTTGGACCACTTTGTGGCCTTCCTTCGAAACGGGTATATCTTCACATCAAACCTAGACAGAAGCATTCTCAGAATGTTTCCTGTGATGACTGCATTCAACTCACAGAGGTGAACAATCCTGCTGATGGAGCAGTTTTGAAACTCTCTTTCTTTGGATTCTGCAAGTGGATATGTGGACCTCTGTGAAGATTTCGTTGGAAACGGGTTCATCTTCACAGAAAAACTAAACAGAAGCATTCTCTGAAACTGCTTTGTGATGTTTGTGTTCCACTTCAAGAATTGAACTTTCCTCTTGACAGAGCAGCTCTGAAACCCTCTTATTCTAGAATCTGCAAGTGGACATTTGGAGGGCTTTGAGGCCTGTGGTGGAAAAGGAAAATCTTCACATAAAAACTAGATGGAAGCATTCTCAGAAACTACTTTGTGATGATTGCATTCGACTCACAGAGTTGAACATTCCTATAGATAGAGCAGGTTGTAAACAATCTTTTTGTAGAATCTGCGATTGGAGATTTGGACTGCTTTGAGGCCTACTGTAGTAAAGGAAATAACTTCATCTAAAAACCAAACGGAAGCATTCACAGTACAATTCTTAGTGATCATTGCATTGAACTAACAGAGCTGAACATTCCTTTAGATGGCGCAGTTTCCAAACACACTTTCTGTAGAATCTGCAAGTGGATATTTGGACCTCTCTGAGGATTTCGTTGGAAACGGGATAAACTTCCCAGAACTACACGGAAGCATTGTGAGAAACTTCTTTGTGATGTTTGCATTCAACTCACAGAGTTGAACCTTGCTTTCATAGTTCAGCTTTCAAACACTCTTTTTATAGAATCTGCAAGTGGATATTTGGACCACTTTGTGGCCTTCCTTCGAAACGGGTATATCTTCACATCAAACCTAGACAGAAGCATTCTCAGAATGTTTCCTGTGATGACTGCATTCAACTCACAGAGGTGAACAATCCTGCTGATGGAGCAGTTTTGAAACTCTCTTTCTTTGGATTCTGCAAGTGGATATGTGGACCTCTGTGAAGATTTCGTTGGAAACGGGTTCATCTTCACAGAAAAACTAAACAGGAGCATTCTCAGAAACTGCATTGTGATGTTTGTGTTCCACTTAAAGAATTGAACTTTCCTCTTGACAGAGCAGCTCTGAAACCCTCTTTTTCTAGAATCTGCAAGTGGACATTTGGAGGGCTTTGAGGCCTGTGGTGGAAAAGGAAAATCTTCACATAAAAACTTTATGGAAGCATTCTCAGAAACTACTTTGTGATGATTGCATTCGACTCACAGAGTTGAACATTCCTATAGATAGAGCAGGTTGTAAACAATCTTTTTGTAGAATCTGCGATTGGAGATTTGGACTGCTTTGAGGCCTACTGTAGTAAAGGAAATAACTTCATCTAAAAACCAAACGGAAGCATTCACAGACAATTCTTAGTGATCATTGGATTGAACTAACAGAGCTGAACATTCCTTTAGATGGAGCAGTTTCCAAACCCACTTTCTGTAGAATCTGCAAGTGGATATTTGGACTTCTCTGAGGATTTCGTTGGAAACGGGATAAACTTCCCAGAACTACACGGAAGCATTCTGAGAAACTTCTTTGTGATGTTTGCATTCAACTCACAGAGTTGAACCTTGCTTTCATAGTTCAGCTTTCAAACACTCTTTTTGTAGAATCTGCAAGTGGATATTTGGACCACTTTGTGGCCTTCCTTCGAAACGGGTATATCTTCACATCAAACCTAGACAGAAGCATTCTCAGAATGTTTCCTGTGATGACTGCATTCAACTCACAGAGGTGAACAATCCTGTTGATGGAGCAGTTTTGAAACTCTCTTTCTTTGGATTCTGCAAGTGGATATGTGGACCTCTGTGAAGATTTCGTTGGAAACGGGTTCATCTTCACAGAAAAACTAAACAGAAGCATTCTCAGAAACTGCTTTGTGATGTTTGTGTTCCACTTCAGGAATTGAACTTTCCTCTTGACAGAGCAGCTCTGAAACCCTCTTTTTCTAGAATCTGCAAGTGGACATTTGGAGGGCTTTGAGGCCTGTGGTGGAAAAGGAAAATCTTCACATAAAAACTAGATGGAAGCATTCTCAGAAACTACTTTGTGATGATTGCATTCGACTCACAGAGTTGAATATTCCTATGGATACATCAGGTTGTAAACAATCTTTTTGTAGAATCTGCGATTGGAGATTTGGACTGCTTTGAGGCCTACTGTAGTAAAGGAAATAACTTCATCTAAAAACCAAACGGAAGCATTCACAGGCAATTCTTAGTGATCATTGGATTGAACTAACAGAGCTGAACATTCCTTTAGATGGAGCAGTTTCCAAACACACTTTCTGTAGAATCTGCAAGTGGATATTTGGACTTCTCTGAGGATTTCGTTGGAAACGGGATAAACTTCCCAGAACTACACGGAAGCATTGTGAGAAACTGCTTTGTGATGTTTGCATTCAACTCACAGAGTTGAACCTTGCTTTCATAGTTCAGCTTTCAAACACTCTTTTTGTAGAATCTGCAAGTGGATATTTGGACCACTTTGTGGCCTTCCTTCGAAACGGGTATATCTTCACATCAAACCTAGACAGAAGCATTCTCAGAATGTTTCCTGTGATGACTGCATTCAACTCACAGAGGTGAACAATCCTGTTGATGGAGCAGTTTTGAAACTCTCTTTCTTTGGATTCTGCAAGTGGATATGTGGACCTCTGTGAAGATTTCGTTGGAAACGGGTTCATCTTCACAGAAAAACTAAACAGGAGCATTCTCAGAAACTACTTTGTGATGTTTGTGTTCCACTTCAAGAATTGAACTTTCCTCTTGACAGAGCAGCTCTGAAACCCTCTTTTTCTAGAATCTGCAAGTGGACATTTGGAGGGCTTTGAGGCCTGTGGTGGAAAAGGAAAATCTTCACATAAAAACTAGATGGAAGCATTCTCAGAAACTACTTTGTGATGATTGCATTCGACTCACAGAGTTGAACATTCCTATAGATAGAACAGGTTGTAAACAATCTTTTTGTAGAATCTGCGATTGGAGATTTCGACTGCTTTGAGGCCTACTGTAGTAAAGGAAATAACTTCATCTAAAAACCAAACGGAAGCATTCACAGACAATTCTTAGTGATCATTGCATTGAACTAACACAGCTGAACATTCCTTTAGATGGAGCAGTTTCCAAACACACTTTCTGTAGAATCTGCAAGTGGATATTTGGACTTCTCTGAGGATTTCGTTGGAAACGGGATAAACTTCCCAGAACTACACGGAAGCATTCTGAGAAACTTCTTTGTGATGTTTGCATTCAACTCACAGAGTTGAACCTTGCTTTCATAGTTCAGCTTTCAAACACTCTTTTTGTAGAATCTGCAAGTGGATATTTGGACCACTTTGTGGCCTTCCTTTGAAACGGGTACATCTTCACATCAAACCTAGACAGAAGCATTCTCAGAATGTTTCCTGTGATGACTGCATTCAACTCACAGAGGTGAACAATCCTGCTGATGGAGCAGTTTTGAAACTCTCTTTCTTTGGATTCTGCAAGTGGATATGTGGACCTCTGTGAAGATTTCGTTGGAAACGGGTTCATCTTCACAGAAAAACTAAACAGAAGCATTCTCAGAAACAACTTTGTGATGTTTGTGTTCAACTTGCAGAGTTGAACTTTCCTCTTGACAGAGCAGCTATGAAACATTGTTTTTCCAGAATCTGCAAGTGGACATTTGGAGGGTTTTGGGGCCTTTGGCAGAAACGTAAATATCTGCATATAATAACTAGATAGAAGCATTCTCAGAAACTACTTTGTGATGATTGCATTCGACTCACAGAGTTGAACATTCCTATAGATAGAGCAGGTTGTAAACAATCCTTTTGTAGAATCTGCGATTGGAGATTTGGACTGCTTTGAGGCCTACTGTAGTAAAGGAAATAACTTCATCTAAAAACCAAACGGAAGCATTCACAGACAATTCTTAGTGATCATTGGATTGAACTAACAGAGCTGAACATTCCTTTAGATGGCGCAGTTTCCAAACACACTTTCTGTAGAATCTGCAAGTGGATATTTGGACCTCTCTGAGGATTTCGTTGGAAACGGGATAAACTTCCCAGAACTACACGGAAGCATTGTGAGAAACTTCTTTGTGATGTTTGCATTCAACTCACAGAGTTGAACCTTGCTTTCATAGTTCAGCTTTCAAACACTCTTTTTGTAGAATCTGCAAGTGGATATTTGGACCACTTTGTGGCCTTCCTTCGAAACGGGTATATCTTCACATCAAACCTAGACAGAAGCATTCTCAGAATGTTTCCTGTGATGACTGCATTCAACTCACAGAGGTGAACAATCCTGCTGTTGGAGCAGTTTTGAAACTCTCTTTCTTTGGATTCTGCAAGTGGATATGTGGACCTCTGTGAAGATTTCATTGGAAACGGGTTCATCTTCACAGAAAAACTAAACAGGAGCATTCTCAGAAACTGCTTTGTGATGTTTGTGTTCCACTTCAAGAATTGAACTTTCCTCTTGACAGAGCAGCTCTGAAACCCTCTTTTTCTAGAATCTGCAAGTGGACATTTGGAGGGCTTTGAGGCCTGTGGTGGAAAAGGAAAATCTTCACATAAAAACTAGATGGAAGCATTCTCAGAAACTACTTTGTGATGATTGCATTCGACTCACAGAGTTGAACATTCCTATAGATAGAGCAGGTTGTAAACAATCTTTTTGTAGAATCTGCGATTGGAGATTTGGACTGCTTTGAGGCCTACTGTAGTAAAGGAAATAACTTCATCTAAAAACCAAACGGAAGCATTCACAGACAATTCTTAGTGATCATTGGATTGAACTAACAGAGCTGAACATTCCTTTAGATGGAGCAGTTTCCAAACACACTTTCTGTAGAATCTGCAAGTGGATATTTGGACCTCTCTGAGGATTTCGTTGGAAACGGGATAAACTTCCCAGAACTACACGGAAGTATTCTGAGAAACTTCTTTGTGATGTTTGCATTCAACTCAGAGAGTTGAACCTTGCTTTCATAGTTCAGCTTTCAAACACTCTTTTTGTAGAATCTGCAAGTAGATATTTGGACCACTTTGTGGCCTTCCTTCGAAACGGGTATATCTTCACATCAAACCTAGACAGAAGCATTCTCAGAATGTTTCCTGTGATGACTGCATTCAACTCACAGAGGTGAACAATCCTGTTGATGGAGCAGTTTTGAAACTCTCTTTCTTTGGATTCTGCAAGTGGATATGTGGACCTCTGTGAAGATTTCGTTGGAAACGGGTTCATCTTCACAGAAAAACTAAACAGGAGCATTCTCAGAAACTGCTTTGTGATGTTTGTGTTCCACTTCAAGAATTGAACTTTCCTCTTGACAGAGCAGCTCTGAAACCCTCTTTTTCTAGAATCTGCAAGTGGACATTTGCAGGGCTTTGAGGCCTGTGGTGGAAAAGGAAAATCTTCACATAAGAACTAGATGGAAGCATTCTCAGAAACTACTTTGTGATGATTGCATTCGACTCACAGAGTTGAACATTCCTATAGATAGAGCAGGTTGTAAACAATCTTTTTGTAGAATCTGCGATTGGAGATTTGGACTGCTTTGAGGCCTACTGTAGTAAAGGAAATAACTTCATCTAAAAACCAAACGGAAGCATTCACAGACAATTCTTAGTGATCATTGCATTGAACTAACAGAGCTGAACATTGCTTTAGATGGCGCAGTTTCCAAACACACTTTCTGTAGAATCTGCAAGTGGATATTTGGACCTCTCTGAGGATTTCGTTGGAAACGGGATAAACTTCCCAGAACTACACGGAAGCATGCTGAGAAACTTCTTTGTGATGTTTGCATTCAACTCACAGAGTTGAACCTTGCTTTCATAGTTCAGCTTTCAAACACTCTTTTTGTAGAATCTGCAAGTGGATATTTGGACCACTTTGTGGCCTTCCTTCGAAACGGGTATATCTTCACATCAAACCTAGACAGAAGCATTCTCAGAATGTTTCCTGTGATGACTGCATTCAACTCACAGAGGTGAACAATCCTGTTGATGGAGCACTTTTGAAACTCTCTTTCTTTGGATTCTGCAAGTTGATATGTGGACCTCTGTGAAGATTTCGTTGGAAACGGGTTCATCTTCACAGAAAAACTAAACAGAAGCATTCTCAGAAACTGCTTTGTGATGTTTGTGTTCCACTTCAGGAATTGAACTTTCCTCTTGACAGAGCAGCTCTGAAACCCTCTTATTCTAGAATCTGCAAGTGGACATTTGGAGGGCTTTGAGGCCTGTGGTGGAAAAGGAAAATCTTCACATAAAAACTAGATGGAAGCATTCTCAGAAACTACTTTGTGATGATTGCATTCGACTCACAGAGTTGAACATTCCTATAGATAGAGCAGGTTGTAAACAATCTTTTTGTAGAATCTGCGATTGGAGATTTGGACTGCTTTGAGGCCTACTGTAGTAAAGGAAATAACTTCATCTAAAAACCAAACGGAAGCATTCACAGACAATTCTTAGTGATCATTGCATTGAACTAACAGAGCTGAACATTCCTTTAGATGGAGCAGTTTCCAAACACACTTTCTGTAGAATCTGCAAGTGGATATTTGGACCTCTCTGAGGATTTCGTTGGAAACGGGATAAACTTCCCAGAACTACACGGAAGCATTGTGAGAAACTTCTTTGGATGTTTGCATTCAACTCACAGAGTTGAACCTTGCTTTCATAGTTCAGCTTTCAAACACTCTTTTTGTAGAATCTGCAAGTGGATATTGGGACCACTTTGTGGCCTTCCTTCGAAACGGGTATATCTTCACATCAAACCTAGACAGAAGCATTCTCAGAATGTTTCCTGTGATGACTGCATTCAACTTACAGAGGTGAACAATCCTGCTGATGGAGCAGTGTTGAAACTCTCTTTCTTTGGATTCTCCAAGTGGATATTTGGACCTCTGTGAAGATTTCGTTGGAAACGGGTTCATCTTCACAGAAAAACTAAACAGGAGCATTCTCAGAAACTGCTTTGTGATGTTTGTGTTCCACTTCAGGAATTGAACTTTCCTCTTGACAGAGCAGCTCTGAAACCCTCTTATTCTAGAATCTGCAAGTGGACATTTGGAGGGCTTTGAGGCCTGTGGTGGAAAAGGAAAATCTTCACATAAAAACTAGATGGAAGCATTCTAAGAAACTACTTTGTGATGATTGCATTCGACTCACAGAGTTGAACATTCCTATAGATAGAGCAGGTTGTAAACAATCTTTTTGTAGAATCTGCGATTGGAGATTTGGACTGCTTTGAGGCCTACTGTAGTAAAGGAAATAACTTCATCTAAAAATCAAACGGAAGCATTCACAAACAATTCTTAGTGATCATTGCTTTGAACTAACAGAGCTGAACATTCCTTTAGATGGAGCAGTTTCCAAACCCACTTTCTGTAGAATCTGCAAGTGGATATTTGGACTTCTCTGAGGATTTCGTTGGAAACGGGATAAACTTCCCAGAACTACAAGGAAGCATTGTGAGAAACTTCTTTGTGATGTTTGCATTCAACTCACAGAGTTGAACCTTGCTTTCATAGTTCAGCTTTCAAACACTCTTTTTGTAGAATCTGCAAGTGGATATTTGGACCACTTTGTGGCCTTCCTTTGAAACGGGTATATCTTCACATCAAACCTAGACAGAAGCATTCTCAGAATGTTTCCTGTGATGACTGCATTCAACTCACAGAGGTGAACAATCCTGCTGATGGAGCAGTTTTGAAACTCTCTTTCTTTGGATTCTGCAAGTGGATATGTGGACCTCTGTGAAGATTTCGTTGGAAACGGGTTCATCTTCACAGAAAAACTAAACAGGAGCATTCTCAGAAACTGCTTTGTGATGTTTGTGTTCCACTTCAAGAATTGAACTTTCCTCTTGACAGAGCAGCTCTGAAACCCTCTTTTTCTAGAATCTGCAAGTGGACATTTGGAGGGCTTTGAGGCCTGTGGTGGAAAAGGAAAATCTTCACATAAAAACTAGATGGAAGCATTCTCATAAACTCCTTTGTGATGATTGCGTTCGACTCACAGAGTTGAACTTTCCTACAGATAGAGCAGGTCGTAAACAATCTTTTTGTAGAATCTGCGATTGGAAATTTGGACTGCTTTGAGGCCTACTGTAGTAAAGGAAATAACTTCATCTAAAAACCAAACGGAAGCATTCACAGACAATTCTTAGTGATCATTGGATTGAACTAACAGAGCTGAACATTCCTTTAGATGGCGCAGTTTCCAAACACACTTTCTGTAGAATCTGCAAGTGGATATTTGGACCTCTCTGAGGATTTCGTTGGAAACGGAATAAACTTCCCAGAACTACACGGAAGCATTCTGAGAAACTTCTTTGTGATGTTTGCATTCAACTCACAGAGTTGAACCTTGCTTTCATAGTTCAGCTTTCAAACACTCTTTTTGTAGAATCTGCAAGTGGATATTTGGACCACTTTGTGGCCTTCCTTCGAAACGGGTATATCTTCACATCAAACTTAGACAGAAGCATTCTCAGAATGTTTCATGTGATGACTGCATTCAACTCACAGAGGTGAACAATCCTGTTGATGGAGCAGTTTTGAATCTCTCTTTCTTTGGATTCTGCAAGTGGATATGTGGACCTCTGTGAAGATTTCGTTGGAAAAGGGTTCATCTTCACAGAAAAACTAAACAGAAGCATTCTCAGAAACTGCTTTGTGATGTTTGTGTTCCACTTCAAGAATTGAACTTTCCTCTTGACAGAGCAGCTCTGAAACCCTCTTTTTCTAGAATCTGCAAGTGGACATTTGGAGGGCTTTGAGGCCTGTGGTGGAAAAGGAAAATCTTCCCATAAAAACTAGATGGAAGCATTCTCAGAAACTACTTTGTGATGATTGCATTCGACTCACAGAGTTGAACATTACTATAGATAGAGCAGGTTGTAAACAATGTTTTTGTAGAATCTGCGATTGGAGATTTGGACTGCTTTGAGGCCTACTGTAGTAAAGGAAATAACTTCATCTAAAAACCAAACGGAAGCATTCACAGACAATTCTTAGTGATCATTGGATTGAACTAACAGAGCTGAACATTCCTTTAGATGGAGCAGTTTCCAAACACACTTTCTGCAGAATCTGCAAGTGGATATTTGGACTTCTCTGCGGATTTCGTTGGAAACGGGATAAACTTCCCAGAACTACACGGAAGCATTGTGAGAATCATCTTTCTGATGTTTGCATTCAACTCACAGAGTTGAACCTTGCTTTCATAGTTCAGCTTTCAAACACTCTTTTTGTAGAATCTGCAAGTGGATATTTGGACCACTTTGTGGCCTTCCTTCGAAACGGGTATATCTTCACATCAAACCTAGACAGAAGCATTCTCAGAATGTTTCCTGTGATGACTGCATTCAACTCACAGAGGTGAACAATCCTGCTGATGGAGCAGTTTTGAAACTCTCTTTCTTTGGATTCTGCAAGTGGATATGTGGACCTCTGTGAAGATTTCGTTGGAAACGGGTTCATCTTCACAGAAAAACTAAACAGAAGCATTCTCAGAAACTGCTTTGTGATGTTTGTGTTCCACTTCAGGAATTGAACTTTCCTCTTGACAGAGCAGCTCTGAAACCCTCTTATTCTAGAATCTGCAAGTGGACATTTGGAGGGCTTTGAGGCCTGTGGTGGAAAAGGAAAATCTTCACATACAAACTAGATGGAAGCATTCTCAGAAACTACTTTGTGATGATTGCATTCGACTCACAGAGTTGAACATTCCTATAGATAGAGCAGGTTGTAAACAATCTTTTTGTAGAATCTGCGATTGGAGGTTTGGACTGCTTTGAGGCCTACTGTAGTAAAGGAAATAACTTCATCTAAAAACCAAACGGAAGCATTCACAGACAATTCTTAGTGATCATTGCATTGAACTAACAGAGCTGAACATTCCTTTAGATGGCGCAGTTTCCAAACACACTTTCTGTAGAATCTGCAAGTGGATATTTGGACCTCTCTGAGGATTTCGTTGGAAACGGGATAAACTTCCCAGAACTACAGGGAAGCATTGTGAGAAACTTCTTTGTGATGTTTGCATTCAACTCACAGAGTTGAACCTTGCTTTCATAGTTCAGCTTTCAAACACTCTTTTTGTAGAATCTGCAAGTGGATATTTGGACCACTTTGTGGCCTTCCTTCGAAACGGGTATATCTTCACATCAAACCTAGACAGAAGCATTCTCAGAATGTTTCCTGTGATGACTGCATTCAACTCACAGAGGTGAACAATCCTGTTGATGGAGCAGTTTTGAAACTCCCTTTCTTTGGATTCTGCAAGTGGATATGTGGAACTCTTTGAAGATTTCGTTGGAAACGGGTTCATCTTCACAGAAAAACTAAACAGGAGCATTCTCAGAAACTGCTTTGTGATGTTTGTGTTCCACTTCAGGAATTGAACTTTCCTCTTGACAGAGCAGCTCTGAAACCCTCTTTTTCTAGAATCTGCAAGTGGACATTTGGAGGGCTTTGAGGCCTGTGGTGGAAAAGGAAAATCTTCACATAAAAACTAGATGGAAGCATTCTCAGAAACTACTTTGTGATGATTGCATTCGACTCACAGAGTTGAACATTCCTATAGATAGAGCAGGTTGTAAACAATCTTTTTGTAGAATCTGCGATTGGAGATTTGGACTGCTTTGAGGCCTACTGTAGTAAAGGAAATAACTTCATCTAAAAACAAAACGGAAGCATTCACAGACAATTCTTAGTGATCATTGGATTGAACTAACAGAGCTGAACATTCCTTTAGATGGAGCAGTTTCCAAACACACTTTCTGTAGAAACTGCAAGTGGATATTTGGACTTCTCTGAGGATTTCGTTGGAAACGGGATAAACTTCCCAGAACTACACGGAAGCATTCTGAGAAACTTCTTGTGATGTTTGCGTTCAACTCACAGCGTTGAACCTTGCGTTCATAGTTCAGCTTTCAAACACTCTTTTTGTAGAATCTGCAAGTGGATATTTGGACCACTTTGTGGCCTTGCTTCGAAACGGGTATATCTTCATATCAAACCTAGACAGAAGCATTCTCAGAATGTTTCCTGTGATGACTGCATTCAACTCACAGAGGTGAACAATCCTGTTGATGGAGCAGTTTTGAAACTCTCTTTCTTTGGATTCTGCAAGTGGATATGTGGACCTCTGTGAAGATTTCGTTGGAAACGGGTTCATCTTCACAGAAAAACTAAACAGGAACATTCTCAGAAACTGCTTTGTGATGTTTGTGTTCCACTTCAAGAATTGAACTTTCCTCTTGACAGAGCAGCTCTGAAACCCTCTTTTTCTAGAATCTGCAAGTGGACATTTGGAGGGCTTTGAGGCCTGTGGTGGAAAAGGAAAATCTTCACATAAAAACTAGATGGAAGCATTCTCAGAAACTACTTTGTGATGATTGCATTCGACTCACAGAGTTGAACATTCCTATAGATAGAGCAGGTTGTAAACAATCTTTTTGTAGAATCTGCGATTGGAGATTTGGACTGCTTTGAGGCCTACTGTAGTAAAGGAAATAACTTCATCTAAAAACCAAACGGAAGCATTCACAGACAATTCTTAGTGATCATTGGATTGAACTAACAGAGCTGAACATTCCTTTAGATGGCGCAGTTTCCAAACACACTTTCTGTAGAATCTGCAAGTGGATATTTGGACTTCTCTGAGGATTTCGTTGGAAACGGGATAACTTTCCCAGAACTACACGGAAGCATTCTGAGAAACTTCTTTGTGATGTTTGCATTCAACTCACAGAGTTGAACCTTGCTTTCATAGTTCAGCTTTCAAACCCTCTTTTTGTAGAATCTGCAAGTGGATATTTGGACCACTTTGTGGCCTTCCTTCGAAACGGGTATATCTTCACATCAAATCTAGACAGAAGCATTCTCAGAATGTTTCCTGTGATGACTGCATTCAACTCACAGAGGTGAACAATCCTGCTGATGGAGCAGTTTTGAAACTCTCTTTCTTTGGATTCTGCAAGTGGATATGTGGACCTCTGTGAAGATTTCGTTGGAAACGGGTTCATCTTCACAGAAAAACTAAACAGAAGCATTCTCAGAAACTGCTTTGTGATGTTTGTGTTCCACTTCAAGAATTGAACTTTCCTCTTGACAGAGCAGCTCTGAAACCCTCTTTTTCTAGAATCTGCAAGTGGACATTTGGAGGGCTTTGAGGCCTGTGGTGGAAAAGGAAAATCTTCACATAAAAACTAGATGGAAGCATTCTCAGAAACTACTTTGTGATGATTGCATTCGACTCACAGAGTTGAACATTCCTATAGATAGAGCAGGTTGTAAACAATCTTTTTGTAGAATCTGCGATTGGAGATTTGGACTGCTTTGAGGCCTACTGTAGTAAAGGAAATAACTTCATCTAAAAACCAAACGGAAGCATTCACAGACAATTCTTAGTGATCATTGCATTGAACTAACAGAGCTGAACATTCCTTTAGATGGCGCAGTTTCCAAACACACTTTCTGTAGAATCTGCAAGTGGATATTTGGACTTCTCTGAGGATTTCGTTGGAAACGGGATAAACTTCCCAGAACTACACGGAAGCATTGTGAGAAACTTCTTTGTGATGTTTGCATTCAACTCACAGAGTTGAACCTTGCTTTCATAGTTCAGCTTTCAAACACTCTTTTTGTGGAATCTGCAAGTGGATATTTGGACCACTTTGTGGCCTTCCTTCGAAACGGGTATATCTTCACATCAAACCTAGACAGAAGCATTCTCAGAATGTTTCCTGTGATGACTGCATTCAACTCACAGAGGTGAACAATCCTGCTGATGGAGCAGTTTTGAAACTCTCTTTCTTTGGATTCTGCAAGTGGATATGTGGACCTCTGTGAAGATTTCGTTGGAAACGGGTTCATCTTCACAGAAAAACTAAACAGGAGCATTCTCAGAAACTGCTTTGTGATGTTTGTGTTCCACTTCAAGAATTGAACTTTCCTCTTGACAGAGCAGCTCTGAAACCCTCTTTTTCTAGAATCTGCAAGTGGACATTTGGAGGGCTTTGAGGCCTGTGGTGGAAAAGGAAAATCTTCACATAAAAACTAGATGGAAGCATTCTCAGAAACTACTTTGTGATGATTGCATTCGACTCACAGAGTTGAACATTCCTATAGATAGAGCAGGTTGTAAACAATCTTTTTGTAGAATCTGCGATTGGAGATTTGGACTGCTTTGAGGCCTACTGTAGTAAAGGAAATAACTTCATCTAAAAACCAAACGGAAGCATTCACAGACAATTCTTAGTGATCATTGCATTGAACTAACAGAGCTGAACATTGCTTTAGATGGCGCAGTTTCCAAACACACTTTCTGTAGAATCTGCAAGTGGATATTTGGACCTCTCTGAGGATATCGTTGGAAAAGGGATAAACTTCCCAGAACTACACGGAAGCATGCTGAGAAACTTCTTTGTGATGTTTGCATTCAACTCACAGAGTGGAACCTTGCTTTCATAGTTCAGCTTTCAAACACTCTTTTTGTAGAATCTGCAAGTGGATATTTGGACCACTTTGTGGCCTTCCTTCGAAACGGGTATATCTTCTCATCAAACCTAGACAGAAGCATTTTCAGAATGTTTCCTGTGATGACTGCATTCAACTCACAGAGGTGAACAATCCTGCTGATGGAGCAGTTTTGAAACTCTCTTTCTTTGGATTCTGCAAGTGGATATGTGGACCTCTGTGAAGATTTCGTTGGAAACGGGTTCATCTTCACAGAAAAACTAAACAGGAGCATTCTCAGAAACTGCTTTGTGATGTTTGTGTTCCACTTCAAGAATTGAACTTTCCTCTTGACAGAGCAGCTCTGAAACCCTCTTTTTCTAGAATCTGCAAGTGGACATTTGGAGGGCTTTGAGGCCTGTGGTGGAAAAGGAAAATCTTCCCATAAAAACTAGATGGAAGCATTCTCAGAAACTACTTTGTGATGAATGCATTCGACTCACAGAGTTGAACATTCCTATAGATAGAGCAGGTTGTAAACAATGTTTTTGTAGAATCTGCGATTGGAGATTTGGACTGCTTTGAGGCCTACTGTAGTAAAGGAAATAACTTCATCTAAAAACCAAACGGAAGCATTCACAGACAATTCTTAGTGATCATTGGATTGAACTAACAGAGCTGAACATTCCTTTAGATGGAGCAGTTTCCAAACACACTTTCTGCAGAATCTGCAAGTGGATATTTGGACTTCTCTGAGGATTTCGTTGGAAACGGGATAAACTTCCCAGAACTACACGGAAGCATTGTGAGAAACATCTTTGTGATGTTTGCATTCAACTCACAGAGTTGAACCTTGCTTTCATAGTTCAGCTTTCAAACACTCTTTTTGTAGAATCTGCAAGTGGATATTTGGACCACTTTGTGGCCTTCCTTCGAAACGGGTATATCTTCACATCAAACCTAGACAGAAGCATTCTCAGAATGTTTCCTGTGATGACTGCATTCAACTCACAGAGGTGAACAATCCTGCTGATGGAGCAGTTTTGAAACTCTCTTTCTTTGGATTCTGCAAGTGGATATGTGGACCTCTGTGAAGATTTCGTTGGAAACGGGTTCATCTTCACAGAAAAACTAAACAGGAGCATTCTCAGAAACTGCTTTGTGATGTTTGTGTTCCACTTCAAGAATTGAACTTTCCTCTTGACAGAGCAGCTATGAAACCCTCTTTTTCTAGAATCTGCAAGTGGACATTTGGAGGGCTTTGAGGCCTGTGGTGGAAAAGGAAAATCTTCACATAAAAACTAGATGGAAGCATTCTCAGAAACTACTTTGTGATGATTGCATTCGACTCACAGAGTTGAACATTCCTATAGATAGAGCAGGTTGTAAACAATCTTTTTGTAGAATCTGCGATTGGAGATTTGGACTGCTTTGAGGCCTACTGTAGTAAAGGAAATAACTTCATCTAAAAACCAAACGGAAGCATTCACAGACAATTCTTAGTGATCATTGCATTGAAATAACAGAGCTGAACATTCGTTTAGATGGCGCAGTTTCCAAACACACTTTCTGTAGAATCTGCAAGTGGATATTTGGACCTCTCTGAGGATTTCGTTGGAAACGGGATAAACTTCCCAGAACTACACGGAAGCATTGTGAGAAACTTCTTTGTGATATTTGCATTCAACTCACAGAGTTGAACCTTGCTTTCATAGTTCAGCTTTCAAACACTCTTTTTGTAGAATCTGCAAGTGGATATTTGGACCACTTTGTGGCCTTCCTTCGAAACGGGTATATCTTCACATCAAACCTAGACAGAAGCATTCTCAGAATGTTTCCTGTGATGACTGCATTCAACTCACAGAGGTGAACAATCCTGCTGATGGAGCAGTTTTGAAACTCTCTTTCTTTGGATTCTGCAAGTGGATATGTGGACCTCTGTGAAGATTTCGTTGGAAACGGGTTCATCTTCACAGAAAAACTAAACAGGAGCATTCTCAGAAACTGCTTTGTGATGTTTGTGTTCCACTTAAAGAATTGAACTTTCCTCTTGACAGAGCAGCTCTGAAACCCTCTTTTTCTAGAATCTGCAAGTGGACATTTGGAGGGTTTTGAGGCCTGTGGTGGAAAAGGAAAATCTTCACATAAAAACTTTATGGAAGCATTCTCAGAAACTTCTTTGTGATGATTGCATTCGACTCACAGAGTTGAACATTCCTATAGATAGAGCAGGTTGTAAACAATCTTTTTGTAGAATCTGCGATTGGAGATTTGGACTGCTTTGAGGCCTACTGTAGTAAAGGAAATAACTTCATCTAAAAACCAAACGGAACCATTCACAGACAATTCTTAGTGATCATTGCATTGAACTAACAGAGCTGAACATTCCTTTAGATGGCGCAGTTTCCAAACACACTTTCTGTAGAATCTGCAAGTGGATATTTGGACTTCTCTGAGGATTTCGTTGGAAACGGGATAAACTTCCCAGAACTACACGGAAGCATTGTGAGAAACTTCTTTGTGATGTTTGCATTCAACTCACAGAGTTGAACCTTGCTTTCATAGTTCAGCTTTCAAACACTCTTTTTGTAGAATCTGCAAGTGGATATTTGGACCACTTTGTGGCCTTCCTTCGAAACGGGTATATCTTCACATCAAACCTAGACAGAAGCATTCTCAGAATGTTTCCTGTGATGACTGCATTCAACTCACAGAGGTGAACAATCCTGCTGATGGAGCAGTTTTGAAACTCTCTTTCTTTGGATTCTGCAAGTGGATATGTGGACCTCTGTGAAGATTTCGTTGGAAACGGGTTCATCTTCACAGAAAAACTAAACAGAAGCATTCTCAGAAACTGCTTTGTGATGTTTGTGTTCCACTTCAGGAATTGAACTTTCCTCTTGACAGAGCAGCTCTGAAACCCTCTTATTCTAGAATCTGCAAGTGGACATTTGGAGGGCTTTGAGGCCTGTGGTGGAAAAGGAAAATCTTCACATAAAAACTAGATGGAAGCATTCTCAGAAACTACTTTGTGATGATTGCATTCGACTCACAGAGTTGAACATTCCTATAGATAGAGCAGGTTGTAAACAATCTTTTTGTAGAATCTGCGATTGGAGATTTGGACTGCTTTGAGGCCTACTGTAGTAAAGGAAATAACTTCATCTAAAAACCAAACGGAAGCATTCACAGACAATTCTTAGTGATCATTG
This sequence comes from Homo sapiens, assembly GCF_000001405.40. Classification (NCBI taxonomy): domain Eukaryota; kingdom Metazoa; phylum Chordata; class Mammalia; order Primates; family Hominidae; genus Homo; species Homo sapiens. The sequence continues at coordinate 51,189,119 of NC_000011.10, forward strand.
CATTGAACTAACAGAGCTGAACATTCCTTTAGATGGAGCAGTTTCCAAACCCACTTTCTGTAGAATCTGCAAGTGGATATTTGGACCTCTCTGAGGATTTCGTTGGAAACGGGATAAACTTCCCAGAACTACACGGAAGCATTGTGAGAAACTTCTTTGTGATGTTTGCATTCAACTCACAGAGTTGAACCTTGCTTTCATAGTTCAGCTTTCAAACACTCTTTTTGTAGAATCTGCAAGTGGATATTTGGACCACTTTGTGGCCTTCCTTCGAAACGGGTATATCTTCACATCAAACCTAGACAGAAGCATTCTCAGAATGTTTCCTGTGATGACTGCATTCTACTCACAGAGGTGAACAATCCTGCTGATGGAGCAGTTTTGAAACTCTCTTTCTTTGGATTCTGCAAGTGGATATGTGGACCTCTGTGAAGATTTCGTTGGAAACGGGTTCATCTTCACAGAAAAACTAAACAGAAGCATTCTCAGAAACTGCTTTGTGATGTTTGTGTTCCACTTCAGGAATTGAACTTTCCTCTTGACAGAGCAGCTCTGAAACCCTCTTATTCTAGAATCTGCAAGTGGACATTTGGAGGGCTTTGAGGCCTGTGGTGGAAAAGGAAAATCTTCACATAAAAACTAGATGGAAGCATTCTCAGAAACTACTTTGTGATGATGGCTTTCGACTCACAGAGTTGAACATTCCTATAGATAGAGCAGGTTGTAAACAATCTTTTTGTAGAATCTGCGATTGGAGATTTGGACTGCTTTGAGGCCTACTGTAGTAAAGGAAATAACTTCATCTAAAAACCAAACGGAAGCATTCACAGGACAATTCTTAGTGATCATTGCATTGATCTAACAGAGCTGAACATTCCTTTAGATGGCGTAGTTTCCAAACACACTTTCTGTAAAATCTGCAAGTGGATATTTGGACCTCTCTGAGGATTTCGTTGGAAACGGGATAAACTTCCCAGAACTACACGGAAGCATTCTGAGAAACTTCTTTGTGATGTTTGCATTCAACTCACAGAGTTGAACCTTGCTTTCATAGTTCAGCTTTCAAACACTCTTTTTGTAGAATCTGCAAGTGGATATTTGGACCACTTTGTGGCCTTCCTTCGAAACGGGTATATCTTCACATCAAACCTAGACAGAAGCATTCTCAGAATGTTTCCTGTGATGACTGCATTCAACTCACAGAGGTGAACAATCCTGCTGATGGAGCAGTTTTGAAACTCTCTTTCTTTGGATTCTGCAAGTGGATATGTGGACCTCTGTGAAGATTTCGTTGGAAACGGGTTCATCTTCACAGAAAAACTAAACAGAAGCATTCTCAGAAACTGCTTTGTGATGTTTGTGTTCCACTTCAGGAATTGAACTTTCCTCTTGACAGAGCAGCTCTAAAACCCTCTTATTCTAGAATCTGCAAGTGGACATTTGGAGGGCTTTGAGGCCTGTGGTGGAAAAGGAAAATCTTCACATAAAAACTAGATGGAAGCATTCTCAGAAACTACTTTGTGATGATTGCATTCGACTCACAGAGTTGAACATTCCTATAGATAGAGCAGGTTGTAAACAATCTTTTTGTAGAATCTGCGATTGGAGATTTGGACTGCTTTGAGGCCTACTGTAGTAAAGGAAATAACTTCATCTAAAAACCAAACGGAAGCATTCACAGACAATTCTTAGTGATCATTGCATTGAACTAACAGAGCTGAACATTCCTTTAGATGGAGCAGTTTCCAAACACACTTTCTGTAGAATCTGCAAGTGGATATTTGGACTTCTCTGAGGATTTCGTTGGAAACGGGATAAACTTCCCAGAACTACACGGAAGCATTGTGAGAAACTTCTTTGTGATGTTTGCATTCAACTCACAGAGTTGAACCTTGCTTTCATAGTTCAGCTTTCAAACACTCTTTTTGTAGAATCTGCAAGTGGATATTTGGACCACTTTCTGGCCTTCCTTCGAAACGGGTATATCTTCACATCAAACCTAGACAGAAGCATTCTCAGAATGTTTCCTGTGATGACTGCATTCAACTCACAGAGGTGAACAATCCTGCTGATGGAGCAGTTTTGAAACTCTCTTTCTTTGGATTCTGCAAGTGGATATGTGGACCTCTGTGAAGATTTCGTTGGAAACGGGTTCATCTTCACAGAAAAACTAAACAGAAGCATTCTCAGAAACTGCTTTGTGATGTTTGTGTTCCACTTCAAGAATTGAACTTTCCTCTTGACAGAGCAGCTCTGAAACCCTCTTATTCTAGAATCTGCAAGTGGACATTTGGAGGGCTTTGAGGCCTGCGGTGGAAAAGGAAAATCTTCACATAAAAACTAGATGGAAGCATTCTCAGAAACTACTTTGTGATGATTGCATTCGACTCACAGAGTTGAACATTCCTATACATAGAGCAGGTTGTAAACAATCTTTTTGTAGAATCTGCGATTGGAGATTTGGACTGCTTTGAGGCCTACTGTAGTAAAGGAAATAACTTCATCTAAAAACCAAACGGAAGCATTCACAGACAATTCTTAGTGATCATTGCATTGAACTAACAGAGCTGAACATTCCTTTACATGGAGCATTTTCCAAACACACTTTCTGTAGAATCTGCAAGTGGATATTTGGACTTCTCTGAGGATTTCGTTGGAAACGGGATAAACTTCCCAGAACTACACGGAAGCATTGTGAGAAACTTCTTTGTGATGTTTGCATTCAACTCACAGAGTTGAACCTTGCTTTCATACTTCAGCTTTCAAACACTCTTTTTGTAGAATCTGCAAGTGGATATTTGGACCACTTTGTGGCCTTCCTTCGAAACGGGTATATCTTCACATCAAACATAGACAGAAGCATTCTCAGAATGTTTCCTGTGATGACTGCATTCAACTCACAGAGGTGAACAATCCTGCTGATGGAGCAGTTTTGAAACTCTCTTTCTTTGGATTCTGCAAGTGGATATGTGGACCTCTGTGAAGATTTCGTTGGAAACGGGTTCATCTTCACAGAAAAACTAAACAGAAGCATTCTCAGAAACTGCTTTGTGATGTTTGTGTTCCACTTCAGGAATTGAACTTTCCTCTTGACAGAGCAGCTCTGAAATCCTCTTATTCTAGAATCTGCAAGTGGACATTTGGAGGGCTTTGAGGCCTGTGGTGGAAAAGGAAAATCTTCACATAAAAACTAGATGGAAGCATTCTCAGAAACTACTTTGTGATGATTGCATTCGACTCACAGAGTTGAACATTCCTAAAGATAGAGCAGGTTGTAAACAATCTTTTTGTAGAATCTGAGATTGGAGATTTGGACTGCTTTGAGGCCTACTGTAGTAAAGGAAATAACTTCATCTAAAAACCATACCGGAAGCATTCACAGACAATTCTTAGTGATCATTGGATTGAACTAACAGAGCTGAACATTCCTTTAGATGGAGCAGTTTCCAAACACACTTTCTGTAGAATCTGCAAGTGGATATTTGGACTTATCTGAGGATTTCGTTTGATAAGGGATAAACTTCCCAGAACTACAGGGAAGCATTCTGAGAAACTTATTTGTGATGTTTGCATTCAACTCACAGAGTTGAACCTTGCTTTCATAGTTCAGCTTTCAAACACTCTTTTTGTAGAATCTGCAAGTGGATATTTGGACCACTTTGTGGCCTTCCTTCGAAACGGGTATATCTTCACATCAAACCTAGACAGAAGCATTCTGAGAATGTTTCCTGTGATGACTGCATTCAACTCACAGAGGTGAACAATCCTGCTGATGGAGCAGTTTTGAAACTCTCTTTCTTTGGATTCTGCAAGTGGATATGTGGACCTCTGTGAAGATTTCGTTGGAAACGGGTTCATCTTCACAGAAAAACTAAACAGGAGCATTCTCAGAAACTGCTTTGTGATGTTTGTGTTCCACTTCAAGAATTGAACTTTCCTCTTGACAGAGCAGCTCTGAAACCCTCTTATTCTAGAATCTGCAAGTGGACATTTGGAGGGCTTTGAGGCCTGTGGTGGAAAAGGAAAATCTTCACATAAAAACTAGATGGAAGCATTCTCAGAAACTACTTTGTGATGATTGCATTCGACTCACAGAGTTGAACATTCCTATAGATAGAGCAGGTTGTAAACAATCTTTTTGTAGAATCTGCGATTGGAGATTTGGACTGCTTTGAGGCCTACTGTAGTAAAGGAAATAACTTCATCTAAAAACCAAACGGAAGCATTCACAGACAATTCTTAGTGATCATTGGATTGAACTAACAGAGCTGAACATTCCTTTAGATGGAGCAGTTTCCAAACCCACTTTCTGTAGAATCTGCAAGTGGATATTTGGACTTCTCTGAGGATTTCGTTGGAAACGGGATAAACTTCCCAGAACTACACGGAAGCATTGTGAGAAACTTCTTTGTGATGTTTGCATTCAACTCACAGAGTTGAACCTTGCTTTCATAGTTCAGCTTTCAAACACTCTTTTTGTAGAATCTGCAAGTGGATATTTGGACCACTTTGTGGCCTTCCTTCGAAACGGGTATATCTTCACATCAAACCTAGACAGAAGCATTCTCAGAATGTTTCCTGTGATGACTGCATTCAACTCACAGAGGTGAACAATCCTGCTGATGGAGCAGTTTTGAAACTCTCTTTCTTTGGATTCTGCAAGTGGATATGTGGACCTCTGTGAAGATTTCGTTGGAAACGTGTTCATCTTCACAGAAAAACTAAACAGGAGCATTCTCAGAAACTGCTTTGTGATGTTTGTGTTCCACTTCAAGAATTGAACTTTCCTCTTGACAGAGCAGCTCTGAAACCCTCTTTTTCTGGAATCTGCAAGTGGACATTTGGAGAGCTTTGAGGCCTGTGGTGGAAAAGGAAAATCTTCCCATAAAAACTAGATGGAAGCATTCTCAGAAACTACTTTGTGATGATTGCATTCGACTCACAGAGTTGAACATTCCTATAGATAGAGCAGGTTGTAAACAATCTTTTTGTAGAATCTGCGATTGGAGATTTGGACTGCTTTGAGGCCTACTGTAGTAAAGGAAATAACTTCATCTAAAAACCAAACGGAAGCATTCACAGACAATTCTTAGTGATCATTGCATTGAACTAACAGAGCTGAACATTCCTTTAGATGGAGCAGTTTCCAAACCCACTTTCTGTAGAATCTGCAAGTGGATATTTGGACTTCTCTGAGGATTTCGTTGGAAACGGGATATACTTCCCAGAACTACACGGAAGCATTCTGAGAAACTTCTTTGTGATGTTTGCATTCAACTCACAGAGTTGAACCTTGCTTTCATAGTTCAGCTTTCAAACACTCTTTTTGTAGAATCTGCAAGTGGATATTTGGACCACTTTGTGGCCTTCCTTCGAAACGGGTATATCTTCACATCAAACCTAGACAGAAGCATTCTCAGAATGTTTCCTGTGATGACTGCATTCAACTCACAGAGGTGAACAATCCTGCTGATGGAGCAGTTTTGAAACTCTCTTTCTTTGGATTCTGCAAGTGGATATGTGGACCTCTGTGAAGATTTCGTTGGAAACGGGTTCATCCACAGAAAAACTAAACAGAAGCATTCTCAGAAACTGCTTTGTGATGTTTGTGTTCCACTTCAGGAATTGAACTTTCCTCTTGACAGAGCAGCTCTAAAACCCTCTTATTCTAGAATCTGCAAGTGGACATTTGGAGGGCTTTGAGGCCTGTGGTGGAAAAGGAAAATCTTCACATAAAAACTAGATGGAAGCATTCTCAGAAACTACTTTGTGATGATTGCATTCGACTCACAGAGTTGAACATTCCTATAGATAGAGCAGGTTGTAAACAATCTTTTTGTAGAATCTGCGATTGGAGATTTGGACTGCTTTGAGGCCTACTGTAGTAAAGGAAATAACTTCATCTAAAAACCAAACGGAAGCATTCACAGACAATTCTTAGTGATCATTGGATTGAACTAACAGAGCTGAACATTCCTTTAGATGGAGCAGTTTCCAAACACACTTTCTGTAGAATCTGCAAGTGGATATTTGGACTTCTCAGAGGATTTCGTTGGAAACGGGATAAACTTCCCAGAACTACAGGGAAGCATTGTGAGAAACTTCTTTGTGATGTTTGCATTCAACTCACAGAGTTGAACCTTGCTTTCATAGTTCAGCTTTCAAACACTCTTTTTGTAGAATCTGCAAGTGGATATTTGGACCACTTTGTGGCCTTCCTTCGAAACGGGTATATCTTCACATCAAACCTAGACAGAAGCATTCTCAGAATGTTTCCTGTGATGACTGCATTCAACTCACAGAGGTGAACAATCCTGTTGATGGAGCAGTTTTGAAACTCTCTTTCTTTGGATTCTGCAAGTGGATATGTGGACCTCTGTGAAGATTTCGTTGGAAACCGGTTCATCTTCACAGAAAAACTAAACAGAAGCATTCTCAGAAACTGCTTTGTGATGTTTGTGTTCCACTTCAAGAATTGAACTTTCCTCTTGACAGAGCAGCTCTGAAACCCTCTTTTTCTAGAATCTGCAAGTGGACATTTGGAGGGCTTTGAGGCCTGTGGTGGAAAAGGAAAATCTTCACATAAAAACTAGATGGAAGCATTCTCAGAAACTACTTTGTGATGATTGCATTCGACTCACAGAGTTGAACATTCCTATAGATAGAGCACGTTGTAAACAATCTTTTTGTAGAATCTGCGATTGGAGATTTGGACTGCTTTGAGGCCTACTGTAGTAAAGGAAATAACTTCATCTAAAAACCAAACGGAAGCATTCAGACAATTCTTAGTGATCATTGGATTGAACTAACAGAGCTGAACATTCCTTTAGATGGAGCAGTTTCCAAACACACTTTCTGCAGAATCTGCAAGTGGATATTTGGACTTCTCTGAGGATTTCGTTGGAAACGGGATAAACTTCCCAGAACTACACGGAAGCATTCTGAGAAACTTCTTTGTGATGTTTGCATTCAACTCACAGAGTTGAACCTTGCTTTCATAGTTCAGCTTTCAAACACTCTTTTTGTAGAATCTGCAAGTGGATATTTGGACCACTTTGTGGCCTTCCTTTGAAACGGGTATATCTTCACATCAAACCTAGACAGAAGCATTCTCAGAATGTTTCCTGTGATGACTGCATTCAACTCACAGAGGTGAACAATCCTGTTGATGGAGCAGTTTTGAAACTCTCTTTCTTTGGATTCTGCAAGTGGATATGTGGACCTCTGTGAAGATTTCGTTGGAAACGTGTTCATCTTCACAGAAAAACTAAACAGGAGCATTCTCAGAAACTGCTTTGTGATGTTTGTGTTCCACTTCAAGAATTGAACTTTCCTCTTGACAGAGCAGCTCTGAAACCCTCTTTTTCTAGAATCTGCAAGTGGACATTTGGAGGGCTTCGAGGCCTGTGGTGGAAAAGGAAAATCTTCACATAAAAACTAGATGGAAGCATTCTCAGAAACTACTTTGTGATGATTGCATTCGACTCACAGAGTTGAACATTCCTATAGATAGAGCAGGTTGTAAACAATCTTTTTGTAGAATCTGCGATTGGAGATTTGGACTGCTTTGAGGCCTACTGTAGTAAAGGAAATAACTTCATCTAAAAACCAAACGGAAGCATTCACAGACAATTCTTAGTGATCATTGCATTGAACTAACAGAGCTGAACATTCCTTTAGATGGCGCAGTTTCCAAACACACTTTCTGTAGAATCTGCAAGTGGATATTTGGACTTCTCTGAGGATTTCGTTGGAAACGGGATAAACTTCCCAGAACTACACGGAAGTATTCTGAGAAACTTCTTTGTGATGTTTGCATTCAACTCAGAGAGTTGAACCTTGCTTTCATAGTTCAGCTTTCAAACACTCTTTTTGTAGAATCTGCAAGTGGATATTTGGACAACTTTGTGGCCTTCCTTGGAAACGGGTATATCTTCACATCTAACCTTGACAGAAGCATTCTCAGAATGTTTCCTGTGATGACTGCATTCAACTCACAGAGGTGAACAATCCTGCTGATGGAGCAGTTTTGAAACTCTCTTTCTTTGGATTCTGCAAGTGGATATGTGGACCTCTGTGAAGATTTCGTTGGAAACGGGTTCATCTTCACAGAAAAACTAAACAGAAGCATTCTCAGAAACTGCTTTGTGATGTTTGTGTTCCACTTCAGGAATTGAACTTTCCTCTTGACAGAGCAGCTCTGAAACCCTCTTATTCTAGAATCTGCAAGTGGACATTTGGAGGGCTTTGAGGCCTGTGGTGGAAAAGGAAAATCTTCACATAAAAACTAGATGGAAGCATTCTCAGAAACTACTTTGTGATGATTGCATTCGACTCACAGAGTTGAACATTCCTATAGATAGAGCAGGTTGTAAACAATCTTTTTGTAGAATCTGCGATTGGAGATTTGGACTGCTTTGAGGCCTACTGTAGTAAAGGAAATAACTTCATCTAAAAACCAAACGGAAGCATTCACAGACAATTCTTAGTGATCATTGGATTGAACTAACAGAGCTGAACATTCCTTTAGATGGAGCAGTTTCCAAACCCACTTTCTGTAGAATCTGCAAGTGGATATTTGGACTTCTCTGAGGATTTCGTTGGAAACGGGATAAACTTCCCAGAACTACACGGAAGCATTCTGAGAAACTTCTTTGTGATGTTTGCATTCAACTCACAGAGTTGAACCTTGCTTTCATAGTTCAGCTTTCAAACACTCTTTTTGTAGAATCTGCAAGTGGATATTTGGACCACTTTGTGGCCTTCCTTCGAAACGGGTATATCTTCACATCAAACCTAGACAGAAGCATTCTCAGAATGTTTCCTGTGATGACTGCATTCAACTCACAGAGGTGAACAATCCTGCTGATGGAGCAGTTTTGAAACTCTCTTTCTTTGGATTCTGCAAGTGGATATGTGGACCTCTGTGAAGATTTCGTTGGAAACGGGTTCATCTTCACAGAAAAACTAAACAGGAGCATTCTCAGAAACTGCTTTGTGATGTTTGTGTTCCACTTCAAGAATTGAACTTTCCTCTTGACAGAGCAGCTCTGAAACCCTCTTTTTCTAGAATCTGCAAGTGGACATTTGGAGGGCTTTGAGGCCTGTGGTGGAAAAGGAAACTCTTCACATAAAAACTAGATGGAAGCATTCTCAGAAACTACTTTGTGATGATTGCATTCGACTCACAGAGTTGAACATTCCTATAGATAGAGCAGGTTGTAAACAATCTTTTTGTAGAATCTGCGATTGGAGATTTGGACTGCTTTGAGGCCTACTGTAGTAAAGGAAATAACTTCATCTAAAAACCAAACGGAAGCATTCACAGACAATTCTTAGTGATCATTGGATTGAACTAACAGAGCTGAACATTCCTTTAGATGGAGCAGTTTCCAAACACACTTTCTGTAGAATCTGAAAGTGGATATTTGGACTTCTCTGAGGATTTCGTTGGAAACGGGATAAACTTCCCAGAACTACACGGAAGCATTCTGAGAAACTTCTTTGTGATGTTTGCATTCAACTCACAGAGTTGAACCTTGCTTTCATAGTTCAGCTTTCAAACACTCTTTTTGTAGAATCTGCAAGTGGATATTTGGACCACTTTGTGGCCTTCCTTCGAAACGGGTATATCTTCACATCAAACCTAGACAGAAGCATTCTCAGAATGTTTCCTGTGATGACTGCATTCAACTCACAGAGGTGAACAATCCTGTTGATGGAGCAGTTTTGAAACTCTCTTTCTTTGGATTCTGCAAGTGGATATGTGGACCTCTGTGAAGATTTCGTTGGAAACGGGTTCATCTTCACAGAAAAACTAAACAGAAGCATTCTCAGAAACTGCTTTGTGATGTTTGTGTTCCACTTCAGGAATTGAACTTTCCTCTTGACAGAGCAGCTCTAAAACCCTCTTATTCTAGAATCTGCAAGTGGACATTTGGAGGGCTTTGAGGCCTGTGGTGGAAAAGGAAAATCTTCACATAAAAACTAGATGGAAGCATTCTCAGAAACTACTTTGTGATGATTGCATTCGACTCAAAGAGTTGAACATTCCTATAGATAGAGCAGGTTGTAAACAATCTTTTTGTAGAATCTGCGATTGGAGATTTGGACTGCTTTGAGGCCTACTGTAGTAAAGGAAATAACTTCATCTAAAAACCAAACGGAAGCATTCACAGACAATTCTTAGTGATCATTGGATTGAACTAACAGAGCTGCACATTCCTTTAGATGGCGCAGTTTCCAAACACACTTTCTGTAGAATCTGCAAGTGGATATTTGGACCTCTCTGAGGATTTTGTTGGAAACGGGATAAACTTCCCAGAACTACACGGAAGCATTGGGAGAAACTTCTTTGTGATGTTTGCATTCAACTCACAGAGTTGAACCTTGCTTTCATAGTTTAGCTTTCAAACACTCTTTTTGTAGAATCTGCAAGTGGATATATGGACCACTTTGTGGCCTTCCTTCGAAACGGGTATATCTTCACATCAAACCTTGACAGAAGCATTCTCAGAATGTTTCCTGTGATGACTGCATTCAACTCACAGAGGTGAACAATCCTGTTGATGAAGCAGTTTTGAAACTCTCTTTCTTTGGATTCTGCAAGTTGATATGTGGACCTCTGTGAAGATTTCGTTGGAAACGGGTTCATCTTCACAGAAAAACTAAACAGAAGCATTCTCAGAAACTGCTTTGTGATGTTTGTGTTCCACTTCAAGAATTGAACTTTCCTCTTGACAGAGCAGCTCTGAAACCCTCTTTTTCTAGAATCTGCAAGTGGACATTTGGAGGGCTTTGAGGCCTGTGGTGGAAAAGGAAAATCTTCACATAAAAACTAGATGGAAGCATTCTCAGAAACTACTTTGTGATGATTGCATTCGACTCAAAGAGTTGAACATTCCTATAGATAGAGCAGGTTGTAAACAATCTTTTTGTAGAATCTGCGATTGGATATTTGGACTGCATTGAGGCCTACTGTAGTAACGGAAATAACTTCATCTAAAAACCAAACGGAAGCATTCACAGACAATTCTTAGTGATCATTGCATTGAACTAACACAGCTGAACATTCCTTTAGATGGAGCAGTTTCCAAACACACTTTCTGTAGAATCTGCAAGTGGATATTTGGACTTCTCTGAGGATTTCGTTGGAAACGGGATAAACTTCCCAGAACTACAGGGAAGCATTCTGAGAAACTTCTTTGTGATGTTTGCATTCAACTCACAGAGTTGAACCTTGCTTTCATAGTTCAGCTTTCAAACACTCTTTTTGTAGAATCTGCAAGTGGATATTTGGACCACTTTGTGGCCTTCCTTCGAAACGGGTATATCTTCACATCAAACCTAGACAGAAGCATTCTCAGAATGTTTCCTGTGATGACTGCATTCAACTCACAGAGGTGAACAATCCTGCTGATGGAGCAGTTTTGAAACTCTCTTTCTTTGGATTCTGCAAGTGGATATGTGGACCTCTGTGAAGATTTCGTTGGAAACGGGTTCATCTTCACAGAAAAACTAAACAGAAGCATTCTCAGAAACTGCTTTGTGATGTTTGTGTTCCACTTCAGGAATTGAACTTTCCTCTTGTCAGAGCAGCTCTGAAACCCTCTTTTTCTAGAATCTGCAAGTGGACATTTGGAGGGCTTTGAAGCCTGTGGTGGAAAAGGAAAATCTTCACATAAAAACTAGATGGAAGCATTCTCAGAAACTACTTTGTGATGATTGCATTCGACTCACAGAGTTGAACATTCCTATAGATAGAGCAGGTTGTAAACAATCTTTTTGTAGAATCTGCGATTGGAGATTTGGACTGCTTTGAGGCCTACTGTAGTAAAGGAAATAACTTCATCTAAAAACCAAACGGAAGCATTCACAGACAATTCTTAGTGATCATTGGATTGAACTAACAGAGCTGAACATTCCTTTAGATGGAGCAGTTTCCAAACCCACTTTCTGTAGAATCTGCAAGTGGATATTTGGACTTCTCTGAGGATTTCGTTGGAAACGGGATAAACTTCCCAGAACTACACGGAAGCATTCTGAGAAACTTCTTTGTGATGTTTGCATTCAACTCACAGAGTTGAACCTTGCTTTCATAGTTCAGCTTTCAAACACTCTTTTTGTAGAATCTGCAAGTGGATATTTGGACCACTTTGTGGCCTTCCTTCGAAACGGGTATATCTTCACATCAAACCTAGACAGAAGCATTCTCAGAATGTTTCCTGTGATGACTGCATTCAACTCACAGAGGTGAACAATCCTGTTGACGGAGCACTTTTGAAACTCTCTTTCTTTGGATTCTGCAAGTTGATATGTGGACCTCTGCGAAGATTTCGTTGGAAACGGGTTCATCTTCACAGAAAAACTAAACAGAGGCATTCTCAGAAACTACTTTGTGATGTTTGTGTTCCACTTCAAGAATTGAACTTTCCTCTTGACAGAGCAGCTCTGAAACCCTCTTTTTCTAGAATCTGCAAGTGGACATTTGGAGGGCTTTGAGGCCTGTGGTGGAAAAGGAAAATCTTCACATAAAAACTAGATGGAAGCATTCTCAGAAACTACTTTGTGATGATTGCATTCGACTCAGAGAGTTGAACATTCCTATAGATAGAGCAGGTTGTAAACAATCTTTTTGTAGAATCTGCAATTGGAGATTTGGACTGCTTTGAGGCCTACTGTAGTAAAGGAAATAACTTCATCTAAAAACCAAACGGAAGCATTCACAGACAATTCTTAGTGATCATTGCATTGAACTAACAGAGCTGAACATTCCTTTAGATGGCGCAGTTTCCAAACACACTTTCTGTAGAATCTGCAAGTGGATATTTGGACCTCTCTGAGGATTTCGTTGGAAACGGGATAAACTTCCCAGAACTACACGGAAGCATTCTGAGAAACTTCTTTGTGATGTTTGCATTCAACTCACAGAGTTGAACCTTGCTTTCATAGTTCAGCTTTCAAACACTCTTTTTGTAGAATCTGCAAGTGGATATTTGGACCACTTTCTGGCCTTCCTTCGAAACGGGTATATCTTCACATCAAACCTAGACAGAAGCATTCTCAGAATGTTTCCTGTGATGACTGCATTCAACTCACAGAGGTGAACAATCCTGCTGATGGAGCAGTTTTGAAACTCTCTTTCTTTGGATTCTGCAAGTGGATATGTGGACCTCTGTGAAGATTTCGTTGGAAACGGGTTCATCTTCACAGAAAAACTAAACAGGAGCATTCTCAGAAACTGCTTTGTGATGTTTGTGTTCCACTTAAAGAATTGAACTTTCCTCTTGACAGAGCAGCTCTGAAACCCTCTTTTTCTAGAATCTGCAAGTGGACATTTGGAGGGCTTTGAGGCCTGTGGTGGAAAAGGAAAATCTTCACATAAAAACTTTATGGAAGCATTCTCAGAAACTTCTTTGTGATGATTGCATTCGACTCACAGAGTTGAACATTCCTATAGATAGAGCAGGTTGTAAACAATCTTTTTGTAGAATCTGCGATTGGAGATTTGGACTGCTTTGAGGCCTACTGTAGTAAAGGAAATTACTTCATCTAAAAACCAAACGGAAGCATTCACAGACAATTCTTAGTGATCATTGGATTGAACTAACAGAGCTGAACATTCCTTTAGATGGAGCAGTTTCCAAACCCACTTTCTGTAGAATCTGCAAGTGGATATTTGGACTTCTCTGAGGATTTCGTTGGAAACGGGATAAACTTCCCAGAACTACACGGAAGCATTGTGAGAAACTTCTTTGTGATGTTTGCATTCAACTCACAGAGTTGAACCTTGCTTTCATAGTTCAGCTTTCAAACACTCTTTTTGTAGAATCTGCAAGTGGATATTTGGACCACTTTGTGGCCTTCCTTCGAAACGGGTATATCTTCACATCAAACCTAGACAGAAGCATTCTCAGAATGTTTCCTGTGATGACTGCATTCAACTCACAGAGGTGAACAATCCTGCTGATGGAGCAGTTTTGAAACTCTCTTTCTTTGGATTCTGCAAGTGGATATGTGGACCTCTGTGAAGATTTCGTTGGAAACGGGTTCATCTTCACAGAAAAACTAAACAGAAGCATTCTCAGAAACTGCTTTGTGATGTTTGTGTTCCACTTCAGGAATTGAACTTTCCTCTTGACAGAGCAGCTCTGAAACCCTCTTATTCTAGAATCTGCAAGTGGACATTTGGAGGGCTTTGAGGCCTGTGGTGGAAAAGGAAAATCTTCACATAAAAACTAGATGGAAGCATTCTCAGAAACTACTTTGTGATGATTGCATTCGACTCACAGAGTTGAACATTCCTATAGATAGAGCAGGTTGTAAACAATCTTTTTGTAGAATCTGCGATTGGAGATTTGGACTGCTTTGTGGCCTACTGTAGTAAAGGAAATAACTTCATCTAAAAACCAAACGGAAGCATTCACAGACAATTCTTAGTGATCATTGCATTGAACTAACAGAGCTGAACTTTCCTTTAGATGGCGCAGTTTCCAAACACACTTTCTGTAGAATCTGCAAGTGGATATTTGGACCTCTCTGAGGATTTCGTTGGAAACGGGATATACTTCCCAGAACTACACGGAAGCATTTTGAGAAACTTCTTTGTGATGTTTGCATTCAACTCACAGAGTTGAACCTTGCTTTCATAGTTCAGCTTTCAAACACTCTTTTTGTAGAATCTGCAAGTGGATATTTGGACCACTTTGTGGCCTTCCTTCGAAACGGGTATATCTTCACATCAAACCTAGACAGAAGCATTCTCAGAATGTTTCCTGTGATGACTGCATTCAACTCACAGAGGTGAACAATCCTGCTGATGGAGCAGTTTTGAAACTCTCTTTCTTTGGATTCTGCAAGTGGATATGTGGACCTCTGTGAAGATTTCGTTGGAAACGGGTTCATCTTCACAGAAAAACTAAACAGAAGCATTCTCAGAAACTGCTTTGTGATGTTTGTGTTCCACTTCAGGAATTGTACTTTCCTCTTGACAGAGCAGCTCTGAAACCCTCTTATTCTAGAATCTGCAAGTGGACATTTGGAGGGCTTTGAGGCCTGTGGTGGAAAAGGAAAATCTTCACATAAAAACTAGATGGAAGCATTCTCAGAAACTACTTTGTGATGATTGCATTCGACTCACAGAGTTGAACATTCCTATAGATAGAGCAGGTTGTAAACAATCTTTTTGTAGAATCTGCGATTGGAGATTTGGACTGCTTTGAGGCCTACTGTAGTAAAGGAAATAACTTCATCTAAAAACCAAACGGAAGCATTCACAGACAATTCTTAGTGATCATTGGATTGAACTAACAGAGCTGAACATTCCTTTAGATGGCGCAGTTTCCAAACACACTTTCTGTAGAATCTGCAAGTGGATATTTGGACCTCTCTGAGGATTTCGTTGGAAACGGGATAAACTTCCCAGAACTACACGGAAGCATTCTGAGAAACTTCTTTGTGATGTTTGCATTCAACTCACAGAGTTGAACCTTGCTTTCATAGTTCAGCTTTCAAACCCTCTTTTTGTAGAATCTGCAAGTGGATATTTGGACCACTTTGTGGCCTTCCTTCGAAACGGGTATATCTTCACATCAAACCTAGACAGAAGCATTCTCAGAATGTTTCCTGTGATGACTGCATTCAACTCACAGAGGTGAACAATCCTGCTGATGGAGCAGTTTTGAAACTCTCTTTCTTTGGATTCTGCAAGTGGATATGTGGACCTCTGTGAAGATTTCGTTGGAAACGGGTTCATCTTCACAGAAAAACTAAACAGAAGCATTCTCAGAAACTGCTTTGTGATGTTTGTGTTCCACTTCAGGAATTGAACTTTCCTCTTGACAGAGCAGCTCTGAAACCCTCTTATTCTAGAATCTGCAAGTGGACATTTGGAGGGCTTTGAGGCCTGTGGTGGAAAAGGAAAATCTTCACATAAAAACTAGATGGAAGCATTCTCAGAAACTACTTTGTGATGATTGCATTCGACTCACAGAGTTGAACATTCCTATAGATAGAGCAGGTTGTAAACAATCTTTTTGTAGAATCTGCGATTGGAGATTTGGACTGCTTTGAGGCCTACTGTAGTAAAGGAAATAACTTCATCTAAAAACCAAACAGAAGCATTCACAGACAATTCTTTGTATTCATTCGGATTGAACTAACAGAGCTGAACATTCCTTTAGATGGAGCAGTTTCCAAACACACTTTCTGTAGAATCTGCAAGTGGATATTTGGACTTCTCTGAGGATTTCGTTGGAAACGGGATAAACTTCCCAGAACTACACGGAAGCATTCTGAGAAACTTCTTTGTGATGTTTGCATTCAACTCACAGAGTTGAACCTTGCTTTCATAGTTCAGCTTTCAAACACTCTTTTTGTAGAATCTGCAAGTGGATATTTGGACCACTTTGTGGCCTTCCTTCGAAACGGGTATATCTTCACATCAAACCTAGACAGAAGCATTCTCAGAATGTTTCCTGTGATGACTGCATTCAACTCACAGAGGTGAACAATCCTGCTGATGGAGCAGTTTTGAAACTCTCTTTCTTTGGATTCTGCAAGTGGATATGTGGACCTCTGTGAAGATTTCGTTGGAAACGGGTTCATCTTCACAGAAAAACTAAACAGAAGCATTCTCAGAAACTGCTTTGTGATGTTTGTGTTCCACTTCAAGAATTGAACTTTCCTCTTGACAGAGCAGCTCTGAAACCCTCTTTTTCTAGAATCTGCAAGTGGACATTTGGAGGGCTTTGAGGCCTGTGGTGGAAAAGGAAAATCTTCCCATAAAAACTAGATGGAAGCATTCTCAGAAACTACTTTGTGATGATGGCTTTCGACTCACAGAGTTGAACATTCCTATAGATAGAGCAGGTTGTAAACAATCTTTTTGTAGAATCTGCGATTGGAGATTTGGACTGCTTTGAGGCCTACTGTAGTAAAGGAAATAACTTCATCTAAAAACCAAACGGAAGCATTCACAGACAATTCTTAGTGATCATTGGATTGAACTAACAGAGCTGAACATTCCTTTGGATGGAGCAGTTTCCAAACACACTTTCTGTAGAATCTGCAAGTGGATATTTGGACTTCTCTGAGGATTTCGTTGGAAACGGGATAAACTTCCCAGAACTACACGGAAGCATTGTGAGAAACTTCTTTGTGATGTTTGCATTCAACTCACAGAGTTGAACCTTGCTTTCATAGTTCAGCTTTCAAACACTCCTTTTGTAGAAATGGCAAGTGGATATTTGGACCACTTTGTGGCCTTCCTTCGAAACGGGTATATCTTCACATCAAACCTAGACAGAAGCATTCTCAGAATGTTTCCTGTGATGACTGCATTCAACTCACAGAGGTGAACAATCCTGCTGATGGAGCAGTTTTGAAACTCTCTTTCTTTGGATTCTGCAAGTGGATATGTGGACCTCTGTGAAGATTTCGTTGGAAACGGGTTCATCTTCACAGAAAAACTAAACAGAAGCATTCTCAGAAACTGCTTTGTTATGTTTGTGTTCCACTTCAGGAATTGAACTTTCCTCTTGACAGAGCAGCTCTGAAACCCTCTTATTCTAGAATCTGCAAGTGGACATTTGGAGGGCTTTGAGGCCTGTGGTGGAAAACGAAAATCTTCACATAAAAACTAGATGGAAGCATTCTCAGAAACTACTTTGTGATGATTGCATTCGACTCACAGAGTTGAACATTCCTATAGATAGAGCAGGTTGTAAACAATCTTTTTGTAGAATCTGCGATTGGAGATTTGGACTGCTTTGAGGCCTACTGTAGTAAAGGAAATAACTTCATCTAAAAACCAAACGGAAGCATTCACAGACAATTCTTAGTGATCATTGCATTGAACTAACAGAGCTGAACATTCCTTTAGATGGAGCAGTTTCCAAACACACTTTCTGTAGAATCTGCAAGTGGATATTTGGACTTCTCTGAGGATTTCGTTGGAAACGGGATAAACTTCCCAGAACTACACGGAAGCATTCTGAGAAACTTCTTTGTGATGTTTGCATTCAACTCACAGAGTTGAACCTTGCTTTCATAGTTCAGCTTTCAAACACTCTTTTTGTAGAATCTGCAAGGGGATATTTGGACCACTTTGTGGCCTTCCTTCGAAACGGGTATATCTTCACATCAAACCTAGACAGAAGCATTCTCAGAATGTTTCCTGTGATGACTGCATTCAACTCACAGAGGTGAACAATCCTGCTGATGGAGCAGTTTTGAAACTCTCTTTCTTTGGATTCTGCAAGTGGATATGTGGACCTCTGTGAAGATTTCGTTGGAAACGGGTTCATCTTCACAGAAAAACTAAACAGAAGCATTCTCAGAAACTGCTTTGTGATGTTTGTGTTCCACTTCAGGAATTGAACTTTCCTCTTGACAGAGCAGCTCTGAAACCCTCTTATTCTAGAATCTGCAAGTGGACATTTGGAGGGCTTTGAGGCCTGTGGTGGAAAAGGAAAATCTTCACATAAAAACTAGATGGAAGCATTCTCAGAAACTACTTTGTGATGATTGCATTCGACTCACAGAGTTGAACATTCCTATAGATAGAGCAGGTTGTAAACAATCTTTTTGTAGAATCTGCGATTGGAGATTTGGACTGCTTTGAGGCCTACTGTAGTAAAGGAAATAACTTCATCTAAAAACCAAACGGAAGCATTCACAGACAATTCTTAGTGATCATTGCATTGAACTAACAGAGCTGAACATTCCTTTAGATGGCGCAGTTTCCAAACACACTTTCTGTAGAATCTGCAAGTGGATATTTGGACTTCTCTGAGGATTTCGTTGGAAACGGGATAAACTTCCCAGAACTACACGGAAGCATTCTGAGAAACTTCTTTGTGATGTTTGCATTCAACTCACAGAGTTGAACCTTGCTTTCATAGTTCAGCTTTCAAACCCTCTTTTTGTAGAATCTGCAAGTGGATATTTGGACCACTTTGTGGCCTTCCTTCGAAACGGGTATATCTTCACATCAAACCTAGACAGAAGCATTCTCAGAATGTTTCCTGTGATGACTGCATTCAACTCACAGAGGTGAACAATCCTGTTGATGGAGCAGTTTTGAAACTCTCTTTCTTTGGATTCTGCAAGTGGATATGTGGACCTCTTTGAAGATTTCGTTGGAAACGGGTTCATCTTCACAGAAAAACTAAACAGGAGCATTCTCAGAAACTGCTTTGTGATGTTTGTGTTCCACTTCAAGAATTGAACTTTCCTCTTGACAGAGCAGCTCTGAAACCCTCTTTTTCTAGAATCTGCAAGTGGACATTTGGAGGGCTTTGAGGCCTGTGGTGGAAAAGGAAAATCTTCACATAAAAACTAGATGGAAGCATTCTCAGAAACTACTTTGTGATGATTGCATTCGACTCACAGAGTTGAACATTCCTATAGATAGAGCAGGTTGTAAACAATCTTTTTGTAGAATCTGCGATTGGAGATTTGGACTGCTTTGAGGCCTACTGTAGTAAAGGAAATAACTTCATCTAAAAACCAAACGGAAGCATTCACAGACAATTCTTAGTGATCATTGCATTGAACTAACAGAGCTGAACATTCCTTTAGGTGGCGCAGTTTCCAAACACACTTTCTGTAGAATCTGCAAGTGGATATTTGGACTTCTCTGAGGATTTCGTTGGAAACGGGATAAACTTCCCAGAACTACACGGAAGCATTGTGAGAAACTTCTTTGTGATGTTTGCATTCAACTCACAGAGTTGAACCTTGCTTTCATAGTTCAGCTTTCAAACACTCTTTTTGTAGAATCTGCAAGTGGATATTTGGACCACTTTGTGGCCTTCCTTCGAAACGGGTATATCTTCACATCAAACCTAGACAGAAGCATTCTCAGAATGTTTCCTGTGATGACTGCATTCAACTCACAGAGGTGAACAATCCTGCTGATGGAGCAGTTTTGAAACTCTCTTTCTTTGGGTTCTGCAAGTAGATATGTGGACCTCTGTGAAGATTTCGTTGGAAACGGGTTCATCTTCACAGAAAAACTAAACAGAAGCATTCTCAGAAACTGCTTTGTGATGTTTGTGTTCCACTTCAAGAATTGAACTTTCCTCTTGACAGAGCAGCTCTGAAACCCTCTTTTTCTAGAATCTGCAAGTGGACATTTGGAGGGCTTTGAGGCCTGTGGTGGAAAAGGAAAATCTTCACATAAAAACTAGATGGAAGCATTCTCAGAAACTACTTTCTGATGATTGCATTCGACTCACAGAGTTGAACATTCCTATAGGTAGAGCAGGTTGTAAACAATCTTTTTGTAGAATCTGCGATTGGAGATTTGGACTGCTTTGAGGCCTACTGTAGTAAAGGAAATTACTTCATCTAAAAACCAAACGGAAGCATTCACAGACAATTCTTAGTGATCATTGGATTGAACTAACAGAGCTGAACATTCCTTTAGATGGAGCAGTTTCCAAACACACTTTCTGTAGAATCTGCAAGTGGATATTTGGACTTCTCTGAGGATTTCGTTGGAAACGGGATAAACTTCCCAGAACTACAGGGAAGCATTCTGAGAAACTTCTTTGTGATGTTTGCATTCAACTCACAGAGTTGAACCTTGCTTTCATAGTTCAGCTTTCAAACACTCTTTTTGTAGAATCTGCAAGTGGATATTTGGACCACTTTGTGGCCTTCCTTCGAAACGGGTATATCTTCACATCAAACCTAGACAGAAGCATTCTCAGAATGTTTCCTGTGATGACTGCATTCAACTCACAGAGGTGAACAATCCTGTTGATGGAGCACTTTTCAAACTCTCTTTCTTTGGATTCCGCAAGTTGATATGTGGACCTCTGTGAAGATTTCATTGGAAACGGGTTCATCTTCACAGAAAAACTAAACAGAAGCATTCTCAGAAACTACTTTGTGATGTTTGTGTTCCACTTCAAGAATTGAACTTTCCTGTTGACAGAGCAGCTCTGAAACCCTCTTTTTCTAGAATCTGCAAGTGGACATTTGGAGGGCTTTGAGGCCTGTGGTGGAAAAGGAAAATCTTCACATAAAAACTAGATGGAAGCATTCTCAGAAACTACTTTGTGATGATTGCATTCGACTCACAGAGTTGAACATTCCTATAGATAGAGCAGGTTGTAAACAATGTTTTTGTAGAATCTGCGATTGGAGATTTGGACTGCTTTGAGGCCTACTGTAGTAAAGGAAATAACTTCATCTAAAAACCAAACGGAAGCATTCACAGACAATTCTTAGTGATCATTGCATTGAACTAACAGAGCTGAACATTCCTTTAGATGGCGCAGTTTCCAAACACACTTTCTGTAGAATCTGCAAGTGGATATTTGGACTTCTCTGAGGATTTCGTTGGAAACGGGATAAACTTCCCAGAACTACACGGAAGCATTGTGAGAAACTTCTTTGTGATGTTTGCATTCAACTCACAGAGTTGAACCTTGCTTTCATAGTTCAGCTTTCAAACACTCTTTTTGTAGAATCTGCAAGTGGATATTTGGACCACTTTGTGGCCTTCCTTCGAAACGGGTATATCTTCACATCAAACCTAGACAGAAGCATTCTCAGAATGTTTCCTGTGATGACTGCATTCAACTCACAGAGGTGAACAATCCTGCTGATGGAGCAGTTTTGAAACTCTCTTTCTTTGGATTCTGCAAGTGGATATGTGGACCTCTGTGAAGATTTCGTTGGAAACGGGTTCATCTTCACAGAAAAACTAAACAGAAGCATTCTCAGAAACTGCTTTGTGATGTTTGTGTTCCACTTCAGGAATTGAACTTTCCTCTTGACAGAGCAGCTCTGAAACCCTCTTATTCTAGAATCTGCAAGTGGACATTTGGAGGGCTTTGAGGCCTGTGGTGGAAAAGGAAAATCTTCACATAAAAAACTAGATGGAAGCATTCTCAGAAACTACTTTGTGATGATTGCATTCGACTCACAGAGTTGAACATTCCTATAGATAGAGCAGGTTGTAAACAATCTTTTTGTAGAATCTGCGATTGGAGATTTGGACTGCTTTGAGGCCTACTGTAGTAAAGGAAATAACTTCATCTAAAAACCAAACGGAAGCATTCACAGACAATTCTTAGTGATCATTGGATTGAACTAACAGAGCTGAACATTCCTTTAGATGGAGCAGTTTCCAAACACACTTTCTGTAGAATCTGCAAGTGGATATTTGGACCTCTCTGAGGATTTCGTTGGAAACGGGATAAACTTCCCAGAAGTACACGGAAGCATTCTGAGAAACTTCTTTGTGATGTTTGCATTCAACTCACAGAGTTGAACCTTGCTTTCATAGTTCAGCTTTCAAACACTCTTTTTGTAGAATCTGCAAGTGGATATTTGGACCACTTTGTGGCCTTCCTTCGAAACGGGTATATCTTCACATCAAACCTAGACAGAAGAATTCTGAGAATGTTTCCTGTGATGACTGCATTCAACTCACAGAGGTGAACAATCCTGCTGATGGAGCAGTTTTGAAACTCTCTTTCTTTGGATTCTGCAAGTGGATATGTGGACCTCTGTGAAGATTTCGTTGGAAACGGGTTCATCTTCACAGAAAAACTAAACAGAAGCATTCTCAGAAACTGCTTTGTGATGTTTGTGTTCCACTTCAGGAATTGAACTTTCCTCTTGACAGAGCAGCTCTGAAACCCTCTTATTCTAGAATCTGCAAGTGGACATTTGGAGGGCTTTGAGGCCTGTGGTGGAAAAGGAAAATCTTCACATAAAAACTAGATGGAAGCATTCTCAGAAACTACTTTGTGATGATTGCATTCGACTCACAGAGTTGAACATTCCTATAGATAGAGCAGGTTGTAAACAATCTTTTTGTAGAATCTGCGATTGGAGATTTGGACTGCTTTGAGGCCTACTGTAGTAAAGGAAATAACTTCATCTAAAAACCAAACGGAAGCATTCACAGACAATTCTTTGTGATCATTGGATTGAACTAAGAGAGCTGAACATTCCTTTAGATGGCGCAGTTTCCAAACACACTTTCTGTAGAATCTGCAAGTGGATATTTGGACCTCTCTGAGGATTTCGTTGGAAACGGGATAAACTTCCCAGAACTACACGGAAGCATTGTGAGAAACTTCTTTGTGATGTTTGCATTCAACTCACAGAGTTGAACCTTGCTTTCATAGTTCAGCTTTCAAACACTCTTTTTGTAGAATCTGCAAGTGGATATTTGGACCACTTTGTGGCCTTCCTTCGAAACGGGTATATCTTCACATCAAACCTAGACAGAAGCATTCTCAGAATGTTTCCTGTGATGACTGCATTCAACTCACAGAGGTGAACAATCCTGCTGATGGAGCAGTTTTGAAACTCTCTTTCTTTGGATTCTGCAAGTGGATATGTGGACCTCTGTGAAGATTTCGTTGGAAACGGGTTCATCTTCACAGAAAAACTAAACAGGAGCATTCTCAGAAACTGCTTTGTGATGTTTGTGTTCCACATCAAGAATTGAACTTTCCTCTTGACAGAGCAGCTCTGAAACCCTCTTTTTCTAGAATCTGCAAGTGGACATTTGGAGGGCTTTGAGGCCTGTGGTGCAAAAGGAAAATCTTCACATAAAAACTAGATGGAAGCATTCTCAGAAACTACTTTGTGATGATTGCATTCGACTCACAGAGTTGAACATTCCTATAGATAGAGCAGGTTGTAAACAATGTTTTTGTAGAATCTGCGATTAAAGATTTGGACTGCTTTGAGGCCTACTGTAGTAAAGGAAATAACTTCATCTAAAAACCAAACGGAAGCATTCACAGACAATTCTTAGTGATCATTGCATTGATCTAACAGAGCTGAACATTCCTTTAGATGGCGTAGTTTCCAAACACACTTTCTGTAGAATCTGCAAGTGGATATTTGGACCTCTCTGAGGATTTCGTTGGAAACGGGATAAACTTCCCAGAACTACACGGAAGCATTCTGAGAAACTTCTTTGTGATGTTTGCATTCAACTCACAGAGTTGAACCTTGCTTTCATAGTTCAGCTTTCAAACACTCTTTTTGTAGAATCTGCAAGTGGATATTTGGACCACTTTGTGGCCTTCCTTCGAAACGGGTATATCTTCACATCAAACCTAGACAGAAGAATTCTCAGAATGTTTCCTGTGATGACTGCATTCAACTCACAGAGGTGAACAATCCTGTTGATGGAGCAGTTTTGAAACTCTCTTTCTTTGGATTCTGCAAGTTGATATGTGGACCTCTGTGAAGATTTCGTTGGAAACGGGTTCATCTTCACAGAAAAACTAAACAGAAGCATTCTCAGAAACTGCTTTCTGATGTTTGTGTTCCACTTCAAGAATTGAACTTTCCTCTTGACAGAGCAGCTCTGAAACCCTCTTTTTCTAGAATCTGCAAGTGGACATTTGGAGGGCTTTGAGGCCTGTGGTGGAAAAGGAAAATCTTCACATAAAAACTAGATGGAAGCATTCTCAGAAACTACTTTGTGATGATTGCATTCGACTCACAGAGTTGAACATTCCTATAGATAGAGCAGGTTGTAAACAATCTTTTTGTAGAATCTGCGATTGGAGATTTGGACTGCTTTGAGGCCTACTGTAGTAAAGGAAATAACTTCATCTAAAAACCAAACGGAAGCATTCACAGACAATTCTTAGTGATCATTGGATTGAACTAACAGAGCTGAACATTCCTTTAGATGGAGCAGTTTCCAAACACACTTTCTGTAGAATCTGCAAGTGGATATTTGGACCTCTCTGAGGATTTCTTTGGAAAGGGGATAAACTTTCCCAGAACTACACGGAAGCATTCTGAGAAACTTCTTTGTGATGTTTGCATTCAACTCACAGAGTTGAACCTTGCTTTCATAGTTCAGCTTTCAAACACTCTTTTTGTAGAATCTGCAAGTGGATATTTGGACCACTTTCTGGCCTTCCTTCGAAACGGGTATATCTTCACATCAAACCTAGACAGAAGCATTCTCAGAATGTTTCCTGTGATGACTGCATTCAACTCACAGAGGTGAACAATCCTGCTGATGGAGCAGTTTTGAAACTCTCTTTCTTTGGATTCTGCAAGTGGATATGTGGACCTCTTTGAAGATTTCGTTGGAAACGGGTTCATCTTCACAGAAAAACTAAACAGGAGCATTCTCAGAAACTGCTTTGTGATGTTTGTGTTCCACTTCAGGAATTGAACTTTCCTCTTGACAGAGCAGCTCTGAAACCCTCTTTTTGTAGAATCTGCAAGTGGACATTTGGAGGGCTTTGAGGCCTGTGGTGGAAAAGGAAAATCTTCACATAAAAACTAGATGGAAGCATTCTCAGAAACTACTTTGTGATGATGGCATTCGACTCACAGAGTTGAACATTCCTATAGATAGAGCAGGTTGTAAACAATCTTTTTGTAGAATCTGCGATTGGAGATTTGGACTGCTTTGAGGCCTACTGTAGTAAAGGAAATAACTTCATCTAAAAACCAAACGGAAGCATTCACAGACAATTCTTAGTGATCATTGGATTGAACTAACAGAGCTGAACATTCCTTTAGATGGAGCAGTTTCCAAACACACTTTCTGTAGAATCTGCAAGTGGATATTTGGACCTCTCTGAGGATTTCGTTGGAAACGGGATAAACTTCCCAGAACTACACGGAAGCATTCTGAGAAACTTCTTTGTGATGTTTGCATTCAACTCACAGAGTTGAACCTTGCTTTCATAGTTCAGCTTTCAAACACTCTTTTTGTAGAATCTGCAAGTGGATATTTGGACCACTTTCTGGCCTTCCTTCGAAACGGGTATATCTTCACATCAAACCTAGACAGAAACATTCTCAGAATGTTTCCTGAGATGACTGCATTCAACTCACAGAGGTGAACAATCCTACTGATGGAGCAGTTTTGAAACTCTCTTTCTTTGGATTCTGCAAGTGGATATGTGGACCTCTTTGAAGATTTCGTTGGAAACGGGTTCATCTTCACAGAAAAACTAAACAGGAGCATTCTCAGAAACTGCTTTATGATGTTTGTGTTCCACTTCAAGAATTGAACTTTCCTCTTGACAGAGCAGCTCTGAAACCCTCTTTTTCTAGAATCTGCAAGTGGACATTTGGAGGGCTTTGAGGCCTGTGGTGGAAAAGGAAAATCTTCACATAAAAACTAGATGGAAGCATTCTCAGAAACTACTTTGTGATGATTGCATTCGACTCACAGAGTTGAACATTCCTATAGATAGAGCAGGTTGAAAACAATCTTTTTGTAGAATCTGCGATTGGAGATTTGGACTGCTTTGAGGCCTACTGTAGTAAAGGAAATAACTTCATCTAAAAACCAAACGGAAGCATTCACAGACAATTCTTAGTGATCATTGGATTGAACTAACAGAGCTGAACATTCCTTTAGATGGCGCAGTTTCCAAACACACTTTCTGTAGAATCTGCAAGTGGATATTTGGACCTCTCTGAGGATTTCGTTGGAAACGGGATAAACTTCCCAGAACTACACGGAAGCATTCTGAGAAACTTCTTTGTGATGTTTGCATTCAACTCACGGAGTTGAACCTTGCTTTCATAGTTCAGCTTTCAAACACTCTTTTTGTAGAATCTGCAAGTGGATATTTGGACCACTTTGTGGCCTTCCTTCGAAACGGGTATATCTTCACATCAAACCTAGACTGAAGCATTCTCAGAATGTTTCCTGTGATGACTGCATTCAACTCACAGAGGTGAACAATCCTGCTGATGGAGCAGTTTTGAAACTCTCTTTCTTTGGATTCTGCAGGTGGATATGTGGACCTCTGTGAAGATTTCGTTGGAAACGGGTTCATCTTCACAGAAAAACTAAACAGGAGCATTCTCAGAAACTGCTTTGTGATGTTTGTGTTCCACTTCAAGAATTGAACTTTCCTCTTGACAGAGCAGCTCTGAAACCCTCTTTTTCTAGAATCTGCAAGTGGACATTTGGAGGGCTTTGAGGCCTGTGGTGGAAAAGGAAAATCTTCACATAAAAACTAGATGGAAGCATTCTCAGAAACTACTTTGTGATGATTGCATTCGACTCACAGAGTTGAACATTCCTATAGATAGAGCAGGTTGAAAACAATCTTTTTGTAGAATCTGCGATTGGAGATTTGGACTGCTTTGAGGCCTACTGTAGTAAAGGAAATAACTTCATCTAAAAACCAAACGGAAGCATTCACAGACAATTCTTAGTGATCATTGGATTGAACTAACAGAGCTGAACATTCCTTTAGATGGAGCAGTTTCCAAACACACTTTCTGTAGAATCTGCAAGTGGATATTTGGACCTCTCTGAGGATTTCGTTGGAAACGGGATAAACTTCCCAGAACTACACGGAAGCATTCTGAGAAACTTCTTTGTGATGTTTGCATTCAACTCACAGAGTTGAACCTTGCTTTCATAGTTCAGCTTTCAAACACTCTTTTTGTAGAATCTGCAAGTGGATATTTGGACCACTTTGTGGCCTTCCTTCGAAACGGGTATATCTTCACATCAAACCTAGACAGAAGCATTCTCAGAATGTTTCCTGTGATGACTGCATTCAACTCACAGAGGTGAACAATCCTGCTGATGGAGCAGTTTTGAAACTCTTTCTTTGGATTCTGCAAGTGGATATGTGGACCTCTGTGAAGATTTCGTTGGAAACGGGTTCATCTTCACAGAAAAACTAAACAGAAGCATTCTCAGAAACTGCTTTGTGATGTTTGTGTTCCACTTCAGGAATTGAACTTTCCTCTTGACAGAGCAGCTCTGAAATCCTCTTATTCTAGAATCTGCAAGTGGACATTTGGAGGGCTTTGAGGCCTGTGGTGGAAAAGGAAAATCTTCACATAAAAACTAGATGGAAGCATTCTCAGAAACTACTTTGTGATGATTGCATTCGACTCACAGAGTTGAACATTCCTATAGATAGAGTAGGTTGTAAACAATCTTTTTGTTGAATCTGCGATTGGAGATTTGGACTGCTTTGAGGCCTACTGTAGTAAAGGAAATAACTTCATCTAAAAACCAAACGGAAGCATTCACAGACAATTCTTAGTGATCATTGCATTGAACTAACAGAGCTGAACATTCCTTTAGATGGAGCAGTTTCCAAACACACTTTCTGTAGAATCTGCAAGTGGATATTTGGACTTCTCTGAGGATTTCGTTTGGAAACGGGATAAACTTCCCAGAACTACACGGAAGCATTCTTAGAAACTTCTTTGTGATGTTTGCATTCAACTCACAGAGTTGAACCTTGCTTTCATAGTTCAGCTTTCAAACACTCTTTTTGTAGAATCTGCAAGTGGATATTTGGACCACTTTGTGGCCTTCCTTAGAAACGGGTATATCTTCACATCAAACCTAGACAGATGCATTCTCAGAATGGTTCCTGTGATGACTGCATTCAACTGACAGAGGTGAACAATCCTGCTGATGGAGCAGTTTTGAAACTCTCTTTCTTTGGATTCTGCAAGTGGATATGTGGACCTCTGTGAAGATTTCGTTGGAAACGGGTTCATCTTCACAGAAAAACTAAACAGAAGCATTATCAGAAACTGCTTTGTGATGTTTGTGTTCCACTTCAGGAATTGTACTTTCCTCTTGACAGAGCAGCTCTGAAACCCTCTTATTCTAGAATCTGCAAGTGGACATTTGGAGGGCTTTGAGGCCTGTGGTGGAAAAGGAAAATCTTCACATAAAAACTAGATGGAAGCATTCTCAGAAACTACTTTGTGATGATTGCATTCGACTCACAGAGTTGAACATTCCTATAGATAGAGCAGGTTGTAAACAATCTTTTTGTAGAATCTGCGATTGGAGATTTGGACTGCTTTGAGGCCTACTGTAGTAAAGGAAATAACTTCATCTAAAAACCAAACGGAAGCATTCACAGACAATTCTTAGTGATCATTGGATTGAACTAACAGAGCTGAACATTCCTTTAGATGGAGCAGTTTCCAAACCCACTTTCTGTAGAATCTGCAAGTGGATATTTGGACTTCTCTGAGGATTTCGTTGGAAATGGGATAAACTTCCCAGAACTACACGGAAGCATTGTGAGAAACTTCTTTGTGATGTTTGCATTCAACTCACAGAGTTGAACCTTGCTTTCATAGTTCAGCTTTCAAACACTCTTTTTGTAGAATCTGCAAGTGGATATTTGGACCACTTTGTGGCCTTCCTTCGAAACGGGTATATCTTCACATCAAACCTAGACAGAAGCATTCTCAGAATGTTTCCTGTGATGACTGCATTCAACTCACAGAGGTGAACAATCCTGCTGATGGAGCAGTTTTGAAACTCTCTTTCTTTGGATTCTGCAAGTGGATATGTGGACCTCTGTGAAGATTTCGTTGGAAACGGGTTCATCTTCACAGAAAAACTAAACAGAAACATTCTCAGAAACTGCTTTGTGATGTTTGTGTTCCACTTCAAGAATTGAACTTTCCTCTTGACAGAGCAGCTCTGAAACCCTCTTTTTCTAGAATCTGCAAGTGGACATTTGGAGGGCTTTGAGGCCTGTGGTGGAAAAGGAAAATCTTCACATAAAAACTAGATGGAAGCATTCTCAGAAACTACTTTGTGATGATTGCATTCGACTCACAGAGTTGAACATTCCTATACATAGAGCAGGTTGTAAACAATCTTTTTGTAGAATCTGCGATTGGAGATTTGGACTGCTTTGAGGCCTACTGTAGTAAAGGAAATAACTTCATCTAAAAACCAAACGGAAGCATTCACAGACAATTCTTAGTGATCATTGGATTGAACTAACAGAGCTGAACATTCCTTTAGATGGAGCAGTTTCCAAACACACTTTCTGTAGAATCTGCAAGTGGATATTTGGACCTCTCTGAGGATTTCGTTGGAAACGGGATAAACTTCCCAGAACTACACGGAAGCATTGTGAGAAAATTCTTTGTGATGTTTGCATTCAACTCACAGAGTTGAAACTTGCTTTCATAGTTCAGCTTTCAAACACTCTTTTTGTAGAATCTGCAAGTGGATATTTGGACCACTTTGTGGCCTTCCTTCGAAACGTGTATATCTTCACATCAAACCTAGACAGAAGCATTCTCAGAATGTTTCCTGTGATGACTGCATTCAACTCACAGAGGTGAACAATCCTGTTGATGGAGCAGTTTTGAAACTCTCTTTCTTTGGATTCTGCAAGTGGATATGTGGACCTCTGTGAAGATTTCGTTGGAAACGGGTTCATCTTCACAGAAAAACTAAACAGAAGCATTCTCAGAAACTGCTTTGTGATGTTTGTGTTCCATTTCAGGAATTGAACTTTCCTCTTGACAGAGCAGCTCTGAAACCCTCTTATTCTAGAATCTGCAAGTGGATATTTGAAGGGCTTTGAGGCCTGTGGTGGAAAAGGAAAATCTTCACATAAAGCTACATGGAAGCATTCTCAGAAACTACTTTGTGATGATTGCATTCGACTCACAGAGTTGAACATTCCTATAGATAGAGCAGGTTGTAAACAATCTTTTTGTAGAATCTGCGATTGGAGATTTGGACTGCTTTGAGGCCTACTGTAGTAAAGGAAATAACTTCATCTAAAAACCAAACGGAAGCATTCACAGACAATTCTTAGTGATCATTGCATTGAACTAACAGAGCTGAACATTCCTTTAGATGGAGCAGTTTCCAAACACACTTTCTGTAGAATGTGCAAGTGGATATTTGGACTTCTCTGAGGATTTCGTTGGAAACGGGATAAACTTCCCAGAACTACACGGAAGCATGCTGAGAAACTTCTTTGTGATGTTTGCATTCAACTCACAGAGTTGAAACTTGCTTTCATAGTTCATCTTTCAAACACTCTTTTTGTAGAATCTGCAAGTGGATATTTGGACCACTTTGTGGCCTTCCTTCGAAACGGGTATATCTTCACATCAAACCTAGACAGAAGCATTCTCAGAATGTTTCCTGTGATGACTGCATTCAACTCACAGAGGTGAACAATCCTGCTGATGGAGCAGTTTTGAAACTCTCTTTCTTTGGATTCTGCAAGTGGATATGTGGACCTCTGTGAAGATTTCGTTGGAAACGGGTTCATCTTCACAGAAAAACTAAACAGAAGCATTCTCAGAAACTGCTTTGTGATGTTTGTGTTCCACTTCAAGAATTGAACTTTCCTCTTGACAGAGCAGCTCTGAAACCCTCTTATTCTAGAATCTGCAAGTGGACATTTGGAGGGCTTTGAGGCCTGTGGTGGAAAAGGAAAATCTTCACATAAAAACTAGATGGAAGCATTCTCAGAAACTACTTTGTGATGATTGCATTCGACTCACAGAGTTGAACATTCCTATAGATAGAGCAGGTTGTAAACAATCTTTTTGTAGAATCTGCGATTGGAGATTTGGACTGCTTTGAGGCCTACTGTAGTAAAGGAAATAACTTCATCTAAAAACCAAACGGAAGCATTCACAGACAATTCTTAGTGATCATTGCATTGAACTAACAGAGCTGAACATTCCTTTAGATGGAGCAGTTTCCAAACACACTTTCTGTAGAATCTGCAAGTGGATATTTGGACCTCTCTGACGATTTCGTTGGAAACGGGATAAACTTCCCAGAACTACACGGAAGCATTCTGAGAAACTTCTTTGTCATGTTTGCATTCAACTCACAGAGTTGAACCTTGCTTTCTTAGTTCAGCTTTCAAACACTCTTTTTGTAGAATCTGCAAGTGGATATTTGGACCACTTTGTGGCCTTCCTTCGAAACGGGTATATCTTCACATCAAACCTAGACAGAAGCATTCTCAGAATGTTTCCTGTGATGACTGCATTCAACTCACAGAGGTGAACAATCCTGCTGATGGAGCAGTTTTGAAACTCTCTTTCTTTGGATTCTGCAAGTGGATATGTGGACCTCTGTGAAGATTTCGTTGGAAACGGGTTCATCTTCACAGAAAAACTAAACAGAAGCATTCTCAGAAACTGCTTTGTGATGTTTGTGTTCCACTTCAGGAATTGAACTTTCCTCTTGACAGAGCAGCTCTGAAACCCTCTTTTTCTAGAATCTGCAAGTGGACATTTGGAGGGCTTTGAGGCCTGTGGTGGAAAAGGAAAATCTTCACATAAAAACTAGATGGAAGCATTCTCAGAAACTACTTTGTGATGATTGCATTCGACTCACAGAGTTGAACATTCCTATAGATAGAGCAGGTTGTAAACAATCTTTTTGTAGAATCTGCGATTGGAGATTTGGACTGCTTTGAGGCCTACTGTAGTAAAGGAAATAACTTCATCTAAAAACCAAACGGAAGCATTCACAGACAATTCTTAGTGATCATTGCATTGAACTAACAGAGCTGAACATTCCTTTAGATGGCGCAGTTTCCAAACACACTTTCTGTAGAATCTGCAAGTGGATATTTGGACCTCTCTGAGGATTTCGTTGGAAACGGGATAAACTTCCCAGAACTACACGGAAGCATTGTGAGAAACTTCTTTGTGATGTTTGCATTCAACTCACAGAGTTGAACCTTGCTTTCATAGTTCAGCTTTCAAACACTCTTTTTGTAGAATCTGCAAGTGGATATTTGGACCACTTTGTGGCCTTCCTTCGAAACGGGTATATCTTCACATCAAACCTAGACAGAAGCATTCTCAGAATGTTTCCTGTGATGACTGCATTCAACTCACAGAGGTGAACAATCCTGCTGATGGAGCAGTTTTGAAACTCTCTTTCTTTGGATTCTGCAAGTGGATATGTGGACCTCTGTGAAGATTTCGTTGGAAACGGGTTCATCTTCACAGAAAAACTAAACAGAAGCATTCTCAGAAACTACTTTGTGATGTTTGTGTTCCACTTCAAGAATTGAACTTTCCTCTTGACAGAGCAGCTCTGAAACCCTCTTTTTCTAGAATCTGCAAGTGGACATTTGGAGGGCTTTGAGGCCTGTGGTGGAAAAGGAAAATCTTCACATAAAAACTAGATGGAAGCATTCTCAGAAACTACTTTGTGATGATTGCATTCGACTCACAGAGTTGAACATTCCTATAGATAGAGCAGGTTGTAAACAATCTTTTTGTAGAATCTGCGATTGGAGATTTGGACTGCTTTGAGGCCTACTGTAGTAAAGGAAATAACTTCATCTAAAAACCAAACGGAAGCATTCACAGACAATTCTTAGTGATCATTGCATTGAACTAACAGAGCTGAACATTGCTTTAGATGGCGCAGTTTCCAAACCCACTTTCTGTAGAATCTGCAAGTGGATATTTGGACCTCTCTGAGGATTTCGTTGGAAACGGGATAAACTTCCCAGAACTACACGGAAGCATGCTGAGAAACTTCTTTGTGATGTTTGCATTCAACTCACAGAGTTGAACCTTGCTTTCATAGTTCAGCTTTCAAACACTCTTTTTGTAGAATCTGCAAGTGGATATTTGGACCACTTTGTGGCCTTCCTTCGAAACGGGTATATCTTCACATCAAACCTAGACAGAAGCATTCTCAGAATGTTTCCTGTGATGACTGCATTCAACTCACAGAGGTGAACAATCCTGTTGATGGAGCACTTTTGAAACTCTCTTTCTTTGGATTCTGCAAGTTGATATGTGGACCTCTGTGAAGATTTCGTTGGAAACGGGTTCATCTTCACAGAAAAACTAAACAGAAGCATTCTCAGAAACTGCTTTGTGATGTTTGTGTTCCACTTCAGGAATTGAACTTTCCTCTTGACAGAGCAGCTCTGAAACCCTCTTATTCTAGAATCTGCAAGTGGACATTTGGAGGGCTTTGAGGCCTGTGGTGGAAAAGGAAAATCTTCACATAAAAACTAGATGGAAGCATTCTCAGAAACTACTTTGTGATGATTGCATTCGACTCACAGAGTTGAACATTCCTATAGATAGAGCAGGTTGTAAACAATCTTTTTGTAGAATCTGCGATTGGAGATTTGGACTGCTTTGAGGCCTACTGTAGTAAAGGAAATAACTTCATCTAAAAACCAAACGGAAGCATTCACAGACAATTCTTAGTGATCATTGGATTGAACTAACAGAGCTGAACATTCCTTTAGATGGAGCAGTTTCCAAACCCACTTTCTGTAGAATCTGCAAGTGGATATTTGGACTTCTCTGAGGATTTCGTTGGAAACGGGATAAACTTCCCAGAACTACACGGAAGCATTCTGAGAAACTTCTTTGTGATGTTTGCATTCAACTCACAGAGTTGAACCTTGCTTTCATAGTTCAGCTTTCAAACACTCTTTTTGTAGAATCTGCAAGTGGATATTTGGACCACTTTGTGGCCTTCCTTCGAAACGGGTATATCTTCACATCAAACCTAGACAGAAGCATTCTCAGAATGTTTCCTGTGATGACTGCATTCAACTCACAGAGGTGAACAATCCTGTTGATGGAGCAGTTTTGAAACTCTCTTTCTTTGGATTCTGCAAGTTGATATGTGGACCTCTGTGAAGATTTCGTTGGAAACGGGTTCATCTTCACAGAAAAACTAAACAGAAGCATTCTCAGAAACTACTTTGTGATGTTTGTGTTCCACTTCAAGAATTGAACTTTCCTCTTGACAGAGCAGCTCTGAAACCCTCTTTTTCTAGAATCTGCAAGTGGACATTTGGAGGGCTTTGAGGCCTGTGGTGGAAAAGGAAAATCTTCACATAAAAACTAGATGGAAGCATTCTCAGAAACTACTTTGTGATGATTGCATTCGACTCACAGAGTTGAACATTCCTATAGATAGAGCAGGTTGTAAACAATCTTTTTGTAGAATCTGCGATTGGAGATTTGGACTGCTTTGAGGCCTACTGTAGTAAAGGAAATAACTTCATCTAAAAACCAAACGGAAGCATTCACAGACAATTCTTAGTGATCATTGGATTGAACTAACAGAGCTGAACATTCCTTTAGATGGCGCAGTTTCCAAACACACTTTCTGTAGAATCTGCAAGTGGATATTTGGACCTCTCTGAGGATTTCGTTGGAAACGGGATAAACTTCCCAGAACTACACGGAAGCATTGTGAGAAACTTCTTTGTGATGTTTGCATTCAACTCACAGAGTTGAACCTTGCTTTCATAGTTCAGCTTTCAAACACTCTTTTTGTAGAATCTGCAAGTGGATATTTGGACCACTTTGTGGCCTTCCTTCGAAACGGGTATATCTTCACATCAAACCTAGACAGAAGCATTCTCAGAATGTTTCCTGTGATGACTGCATTCAACTCACAGAGGTGAACAATCCTGCTGATGGAGCAGTTTTGAAACTCTCTTTCTTTGGATTCTGCAAGTGGATATGTGGACCTCTGTGAAGATTTCGTTGGAAACGGGTTCATCTTCACAGAAAAACTAAACAGAAGCATTCTCAGAAACTGCTTTGTGATGTTTGTGTTCCACTTCAGGAATTGAACTTTCCTCTTGACAGAGCAGCTCTGAAATCCTCTTATTCTAGAATCTGCAAGTGGACATTTGGAGGGCTTTGAGGCCTGTGGTGGAAAAGGAAAATCTTCACATAAAAACTAGATGGAAGCATTCTCAGAAACTACTTTGTGATGATTGCATTCGACTCACAGAGTTGAACATTCCTATAGATAGAGCAGGTTGTAAACAATCTTTTTGTAGAATCTGCGATTGGAGATTTGGACTGCTTTGAGGCCTACTGTAGTAAAGGAAATAACTTCATCTAAAAACCAAACGGAAGCATTCACAGGCAATTCTTAGTGATCATTGTATTGAACTAACAGAGCTGAACATTCCTTTAGATGGAGCAGTTTCCAAACACACTTTCTGTAGAATCTGCAAGTCGATATTTGGACCTCTCTGAGGATTTCGTTGGAAACGGGATAAACTTCCCAGAACTACACGGAAGCATTCTGAGAAACTTCTTTGTGATGTTTGCATTCAACTCACAGAGTTGAACCTTGCTTTCATAGTTCAGCTTTCAAACACTCTTTTTGTAGAATCTGCAAGTGGATATTTGGACCACTTTGTGGCCTTCCTTCGAAACGGGTATATCTTCACATCAAACCTAGACAGAAGCATTTTCAGAATATTTCCTGTGATGACTGCATTCAACTCACAGAGGTGAACAATCCTGCTGATGGAGCAGTTTTGAAACTCTCTTTCTTTGGATTCTGCAAGTGGATATGTGGACCTCTGTGAAGATTTCATTGGAAACGGGTTCATCTTCACAGAAAAACTAAACAGGAGCATTCTCAGAAACTGCTTTGTGATGTTTGTGTTCCACTTCAAGAATTGAACTTTCCTCTTGACAGAGCAGCTCTGAAACCCTCTTTTTCTAGAATCTGCAAGTGGACATTTGGAGGGCTTTGAGGCCTGTGGTGGAAAAGGAAAATCTTCACATAAAAACTAGATGGAAGCATTCTCAGAAACTACTTTGTGATGATTGCATTCGACTCACAGAGTTGAACATTCCTATAGATAGAGCAGGTTGTAAACAATGTTTTTGTAGAATCTGCGATTGGAGATTTGGACTGCTTTGAGGCCTACTGTAGTAAAGGAAATAACTTCATCTAAAAACCAAACGGAAGCATTCACAGACAATTCTTAGTGATCATTGCATTGAACTAACAGAGCTGAACATTCCTTTAGATGGCGCAGTTTCCAAACACACTTTCTGTAGAATCTGCAAGTGGATATTTGGACCTCTCTGAGGATTTCGTTGGAAACGGGATAAACTTCCCAGAACTACACGGAAGCATTCTGAGAAACTTCTTTGTGATGTTTGCATTCAACTCACAGAGTTGAACCTTGCTTTCATAGTTCAGCTTTCAAACACTCTTTTTGTAGAATCTGCAAGTGGATATTTGGACCACTTTGTGGCCTTCCTTCGAAACGGGTATATCTTCACATCAAACCTAGACAGAAGCATTCTCAGAATGTTTCCTGTGATGACTGCATTCAACTCACAGAGGTGAACAATCCTGCTGATGGAGCAGTTTTGAAACTCTCTTTCTTTGGATTCTGCAAGTGGATATGTGGACCTCTGTGAAGATTTCGTTGGAAACGGGTTCATCTTCACAGAAAAACTAAACAGAAGCATTCTCAGAAATTGCTTTGTGATGTTTGTGTTCCACTTCAGGAATTGAACTTTCCTCTTGACAGAGCAGCTCTGAAACCCTCTTATTCTAGAATCTGCAAGTGGACATTTGGAGGGCTTTGAGGCCTGTGGTGGAAAAGGAAAATCTTCACATAAAAACTAGATGGAAGCATTCTCAGAAACTACTTTGTGATGATTGCATTCGACTCACAGAGTTGAACATTCCTATAGATAGAGCAGGTTGTAAACAATCTTTTTGTAGAATCTGCGATTGGACATTTGGACTGCTTTGAGGCCTACTGTAGTAAAGGAAATAACTTCATCTAAAAACCAAACGGAAGCATTCACAGACAATTCTTAGTGATCATTGCATTGAACTAACAGAGCTGAACATTCCTTTAGATTGAGCAGTTTCCAAACACACTTTCTGTAGAATCTGCAAGTGGATATTTGGACTTCTCTGAGGATTTCGTTGGAAACGGGATAAACTTCCCAGAACTACACGGAAGCATTGTGAGAAACTTCTTTGTGATGTTTGCATTCAACTCACAGAGTTGAACCTTGCTTTCATAGTTCAGCTTTCAAACACTCTTTTTGTAGAATCTGCAAGTGGATATTTGGACCACTTTGTGGCCTTCCTTTGAAAAGGGTATATCTTCACATCAAACCTAGACAGAAGCATTCTCAGAATGTTTCCTGTGATGACTGCATTCAACTCACAGAGGTGAACAATCCTGCTGATGGAGCAGTTTTGAAACTCTCTTTCTTTGGATTCTGCAAGTGGATATGTGGACCTCTGTGAAGATTTCGTTGGAAACGGGTTCATCTTCACAGAAAAACTAAACAGAAGCACTCTCAGAAACTGCTTTGTGATGTTTGTGTTCCACTTCAGGAATTGAACTTTCCTCTTGAAAGAGCAGCTCTGAAACCCTCTTATTCTAGAATCTGCAAGTGGACATTTGGAGGGCTTTGAGGCCTGTGGTGGAAAAGGAAAATCTTCACATAAAAACTAGATGGAAGCATTCTCAGAAACTTCTTTGTGATGATTGCATTCGACTCACAGAGTTGAACATTCCTATAGATAGAGCAGGTTGTAAACAATCTTTTTGTAGAATCTGCGATTGGAGATTTGGACTGCTTTGAGGCCTACTGTAGTAAAGGAAATTACTTCATCTAAAAACCAAACGGAAGCATTCACAGACAATTCTTAGTGATCATTGGATTGAACTAACAGAGCTGAACATTCCTTTAGATGGAGCAGTTTCCAAACCCACTTTCTGTAGAATCTGCAAGTGGATATTTGGACTTCTCTGAGGATTTCGTTGGAAACGGGATAAACTACCCAGAACTACACGGAAGCATTGTGAGAAACTTCTTTGTGATGTTTGCATTCAACTCACAGAGTTGAACCTTGCTTTCATAGTTCAGCTTTCAAACACTCTTTTTGTAGAATCTGCAAGTGGATATTTGGACCACTTTGTGGCCTTCCTTCGAAACGGGTATATCTTCACATCAAACCTAGACAGAAGCATTCTCAGAATGTTTCCTGTGATGACTGCATTCAACTCACAGAGGTGAACAATCCTGCTGATGGAGCAGTTTTGAAACTCTCTTTCTTTGGATTCTGCAAGTGGATATGTGGACCTCTGTGAAGATTTCGTTGGAAACGGGTTCATCTTCACAGAAAAACTAAACAGAAGCATTCTCAGAAACTGCTTTGTTATGTTTGTGTTCCACTTCAGGAATTGAACTTTCCTCTTGACAGAGCAGCTCTGAAACCCTCTTATTCTAGAATCTGCAAGTGGACATTTGGAGGGCTTTGAGGCCTGTGGTGGAAAAGGAAAATCTTCACATAAAAACTAGATGGAAGCATTCTCAGAAACTACTTTGTGATGATTGCATTCGACTCACAGAGTTGAACATTCCTATAGATAGAGCAGGTTGTAAACAATCTTTTTGTAGAATCTGCGATTGGAAATTTGGACTGCTTTGAGGCCTACTGTAGTAAAGGAAATAACTTCATCTAAAAACCAAACGGAAGCATTCACAGACAATTCTTAGTGATCATTGCATTGAACTAACAGAGCTGAACATTCCTTTAGATGGCGCAGTTTCCAAACACACTTTCTGTAGAATCTGCAAGTGGATATTTGGACCTCTCTGAGGATTTCGTTGGAAACGGGATAAACTTCCCAGAACTACACGGAAGCATTCTGAGAAACTTCTTTGTGATGTTTGCATTCAACTCACAGAGTTGAACCTTGCTTTCATAGTTCAGCTTTCAAACACTCTTTTTGTAGAATCTGCAAGTGGATATTTGGACCACTTTGTGGCCTTCCTTCGAAACGGGTATATCTTCACATCAAACCTAGACAGAAGCATTCTCAGAATGTTTCCTGTGATGACTGCATTCAACTCACAGAGGTGAACAATCCTGCTGATGGAGCAGTTTTGAAACTCTCTTTCTTTGGATTCTGCAAGTGGATATGTGGACCTCTGTGAAGATTTCGTTGGAAACGGGTTCATCTTCACAGAAAAACTAAACAGAAGCATTCCCAGAAACTGCTTTGTGATGTTTCTGTTCCACTTCAAGAATTGAACTTTCCTCTTGACAGAGCAGCTCTGAAACCCTCTTTTTCTAGAATCTGCAAGTGGACATTTGGAGGGCTTTGAGGCCTGTGGTGGAAAAGGAAAATCTTCACATAAAAACTAGATGGAAGCATTCTCAGAAACTACTTTGTGATGATTGCATTCGACTCACAGAGTTGAACATTCCTATAGATAGAGCAGGTTGTAAACAATCTTTTTGTAGAATCTGCGATTGGAGATTTGGACTGCTTTGAGGCCTGCTGTAGTAAAGGAAATAACTTCATCTAAAAACCAAACGGAAGCATTCACAGACAATTCTTAGTGATCATTGGATTGAACTAACAGAGCTGAACATTCCTTTAGATGGAGCAGTTTCCAAACACACTTTCTGTAGAATCTGCAAGTGGATATTTGGACTTCTCTGAGGATTTCGTTGGAAACGGGATAAACTTCCCAGAACTACACGGAAGCATTGTGAGAAACTTCTTTGTGATGTTTGCATTCAACTCACAGAGTTGAACCTTGCTTTCATAGTTCAGCTTTCAAACACTCTTTTTGTAGAATCTGCAAGTGGATATTTGGACCACTTTGTGGCCTTCCTTCGAAACGGGTATATCTTCACATCAAACCTAGACAGAAGCATTCTCAGAATGTTTCCTGTGATGACTGCATTCAACTCACAGAGGTGAACAATCCTGTTGATGGAGCAGTTTTGAAACTCTCTTTCTTTGGATTCTGCAAGTGGATATGTGGACCTCTGTGAAGATTTCGTTGGAAACGGGTTCATCTTCACAGAAAAACTAAACAGAAGCATTATCAGAAACTGCTTTGTGATGTTTGTGTTCCACTTCAGGAATTGAACTTTCCTCTTGACAGAGCAGCTCTGAAATCCTCTTATTCTAGAATCTGCAAGTGGACATTTGGAGGGCTTTGAGGCCTGTGGTGGAAAAGGAAAATCTTCACATAAAAACTAGATGGAAGCATTCTCAGAAACTACTTTGTGATGATTGCATTCGACTCACAGAGTTGAACATTCCTATAGATAGAGCAGGTTGTAAACAATCTTTTTGTAGAATCTGCGATTGGAGATTTGGACTGCTTTGAGGCCTACTGTAGTAAAGGAAATAACTTCATCTAAAAACCAAACGGAAGCATTCACAGACAATTCTTAGTGATCATTGGATTGAACTAACAGAGCTGAATATTCCTTTAGATGGAGCAGTTTCCAAACCCACTTTCTGTAGAATCTGCAAGTGGATATTTGGACTTCTCTGAGGATTTCGTTGGAAACGGGATAAACTTCCCAGAACTACACGGAAGCATTCTGAGAAACTTCTTTGTGATGTTTGCATTCAACTCACAGAGTTGAACCTTGCTTTCATAGTTCAGCTTTCAAACACTCCTTTTGTAGAATCTGCAAGTGGATATTTGGACCACTTTGTGGCCTTCCTTCGAAACGGGTGTATCTTCACATCAAACACAGACAGAAGCATTCTCAGAATGTTTCCTGTGATGACTGCATTCAACTCACAGAGGTGAACAATCCTGTTGATGGAGCACTTTTGAAACTCTCTTTCTTTGGATTCTGCAAGTTGATATGTGGACCTCTGTGAAGATTTCGTTGGAAACGGGTTCATCTTCACAGAAAAACTAAACAGAAGCATTCTCAGAAACTGCTTTGTGATGTTTGTGTTCCACTTCAGGAACTGAACTTTCCTCTTGACAGAGCAGCTCTGAAACCCTCTTTTTCTAGAATCTGCAAGTGGACATTTGGAGGGCTTTGAGGCCTGTGGTGGAAAAGGAAAATCTTCACATAAAAACTAGATGGAAGCATTCTCAGAAACTACTTTGTGATGATTGCATTCGACTCACAGAGTTGAACATTCCTATAGATAGAGCAGGTTGTAAACAATCTTTTTGTAGAATCTGCGATTGGAGATTTGGACTGCTTTGAGGCCTACTGTAGTAAAGGAAATAACTTCATCTAAAAACCAAACGGAAGCATTCACAGACAATTCTTAGTGATCATTGGATTGAACTAACAGAGCTGAACATTCCTTTAGATGGAGCAGTTTCCAAACACACTTTCTGTAGAATCTGCAAGTGGATATTTGGACCTCTCTGAGGATTTCGTTGGAAACGGGATAAACTTCCCAGAACTACACGGAAGCATTCTGAGAAACTTCTTTGTGATGTTTGCATTCAACTCACAGAGTTGAACCTTGCTTTCATAGTTCAGCTTTCAAACACTCTTTTTGTAGAATCTGCAAGTGGATATTTGGACCACTTTGTGGCCTTCCTTCGAAACGGGTATATCTTCACATCAAACCTAGACAGAAGCATTCTCAGAATGTTTCCTGTGATGATTGCGTTCAACTCACAGAGGTGAACAATCCTGCTGATGGAGCAGTTTTGAAACTCTCTTTCTTTGGATTCTGCAAGTTGATATGTGGACCTCTGTGAAGATTTCGTTGGAAACGGGTTCATCTTCACAGAAAAACTAAACAGGAGCATTCTCAGAAACTGCTTTGTGATGTTTGTGTTCCACTTCAAGAATTGAACTTTCCTCTTGACAGAGCAGCTCTGAAACCCTCTTTTTCTAGAATCTGCAAGTGGACATTTGGAGGGCTTTGAGGCCTGTGGTGGAAAAGGAAAATCTTCACATAAAAACTAGATGGAAGCATTCTCAGAAACTACTTTGTGATGATTGCATTCGACTCACAGAGTTGAACATTCCTATAGATAGAGCAGGTTGTAAACAATCTTTTTGTAGAATCTGCGATTGGAGATTTGGACTGCTTTGAGGCCTACTGTAGTAAAGGAAATAACTTCATCTAAAAACCAAACGGAAGCATTCACAGACAATTCTTAGTGATCATTGCATTGAACTAACAGAGCTGAACATTCCTTTAGATGGAGCATTTTCCAAACACACTTTCTGTAGAATCTGCAAGTGGATATTTGGACTTCTCTGAGGATTTCGTTGGAAACGGGATAAACTTCCCAGAACTACACGGAAGCATTGTGAGAAACTTCTTTGTGATGTTTGCATTCAACTCACAGAGTTGAACCTTGCTTTCATAGTTCAGCTTTCAAACACTCTTTTTGTAGAATCAGCAAGTGGATATTTGGACCACTTTGTGGCCTTCCTTCGAAACGGGTATATCTTCACATCAAACATAGACAGAAGCATTCTCAGAATGTTTCCTGTGATGACTGCATTCAACTCACAGAGGTGAACAATCCTGTTGATGGAGCAGTTTTGAAACTCTCTTTCTTTGGATTCTGCAAGTTGATATGTGGACCTCTGTGAAGATTTCGTTGGAAACGGGTTCATCTTCACAGAAAAACTAAACAGAAGCATTCTCAGAAACTGCTTTGTGATGTTTGTGTTCCACTTCAAGAATTGAACTTTCCTCTTGACAGAGC
Source organism: Homo sapiens (assembly GCF_000001405.40). NCBI lineage: Eukaryota > Metazoa > Chordata > Mammalia > Primates > Hominidae > Homo > Homo sapiens. The sequence goes on from NC_000011.10 coordinate 51,232,166, forward strand.
AGCTCTGAAACCCTCTTTTTCTAGAATCTGCAAGTGGACATTTGGAGGGCTTTGAGGCCTGTGGTGGAAAAGGAAAATCTTCACATAAAAACTAGATGGAAGCATTCTCAGAAACTACTTTGTGATGACTGCATTCGACTCACAGAGTTGAACATTCCTATAGATAGAGCAGGTTGTAAACAATCTTTTTGTAGAATCTGCGATTGGAGATTTGGACTGCTTTGAGGCCTACTGTAGTAAAGGAAATAACTTCATCTAAAAACCAAACGGAAGCATTCACAGACAATTCTTAGTGATCATTGGATTGAACTAACAGAGCTGAACATTCCTTTAGATGGCGCAGTTTCCAAACACACTTTCTGTAGAATCTGCAAGTGGATATTTGGACCTCTCTGAGGATTTCGTTGGAAACGGGATAAACTTCCCAGAACTACACGGAAGCATTGTGAGAAACTTCTTTGTGATGTTTGCATTCAACTCACAGAGTTGAACCTTGCTTTCATAGTTCAGCTTTCAAACACTCTTTTTGTAGAATCTGCAAGTGGATATTTGGACCACTTTGTGGCCTTCCTTCGAAACGGGTATATCTTCACATCAAACCTAGACAGAAGCATTCTCAGAATGTTTCCTGTGATGACTGCATTCAACTCACAGAGGTGAACAATCCTGTTGATGGAGCAGTTTTGAAACTCTCTTTCTTTGGATTCTGCAAGTGGATATGTGGACCTCTATGAAGATTTCATTGGAAACGGGTTCATCTTCACAGAAAAACTAAACAGAAGCATTCTCAGAAACTGCTTTGTGATGTTTGTGTTCCACTTCAGGAATTGAACTTTTCTCTTGAAAGAGCAGCTCTGAAACCCTCTTTTTCTAGAATCTGCAAGTGGACATTTGGAGGGCTTTGAGGCCTGTGGTGGAAAAGGAAAATCTTCACATAAAAACTAGATGGAAGCATTCTCAGAAACTACTTTGTGATGATTGCATTCGACTCACAGAGTTGAACATTCCTATAGATAGAGCAGGTTGTAAACAATCTTTTTGTAGAATCTGCGATTGGAGATTTGGACTGCTTTGAGGCCTACTGTAGTAAAGGAAATAACTTCATCTAAAAACCAAACGGAAGCATTCACAGACAATTCTTAGTGATCATTGGATTGAACTAACAGAGCTGAACATTCCTTTAGATGGAGCAGTTTCCAAACACACTTTCTGTAGAATCTGCAAGTGGATATTTGGACCTCTCTGAGGATTTCGTTGGAAAGGGGATAAACTTCCCAGAACTACACGGAAGCATTGTGAGAAACTTCTTTGTGATGTTTGCATTCAACTCACAGAGTTGAACCTTGCTTTCATAGTTCAGCTTTCAAACACTCTTTTTGTAGAATCTGCAAGTGGATATTTGGACCACTTTGTGGCCTTCCTTCGAAACGGGTATATCTTCACATCAAACCTAGACAGAAGCATTCTCAGAATGTTTCCTGTGATGACTGCATTCAACTCACAGATGTGAACAATCCTGCTCATGGAGCAGTTTTGAAACTCTCTTTCTTTGGATTCTGCAAGTGGATATGTGGACCTCTGTGTAGATTTCGTTGGAAACGGGTTCATCTTCACAGAAAAACTAAACAGAAGCATTCTCAGAAACTGCTTTGTGATGTTTGTGTTCCACTTCAGGAATTGTACTTTCCTCTTGACAGAGCAGCTCTGAAACCCTCTTATTCTAGAATCTTCAAGTGGACATTTGGAGGGCTTTGAGGCCTGTGGTGGAAAAGGAAAATCTTCACATAAAAACTAGATGGAAGCATTCTCAGAAACTACTTTGTGATGATGGCTTTCGACTCACAGAGTTGAACATTCCTATAGATAGAGCAGGGTGTAAACAATCTTTCTGTAGAATCTGCGATTGGAGATTTGGACTGCTTTGAGGCCTACTGTAGTAAAGGAAATAACTTCATCTAAAAACCAAAAGGAAGCATTCACAGACAATTCTTAGTGATCATTGCATTGAACTAACAGAGCTGAACATTCCTTTAGATGGCGCAGTTTCCAAACACACTTTCTGTAGAATCTGCAAGTGGATATTTGGACCTCTCTGAGGATTTCGTTGGAAACGGGATAAACTTCCCAGAACTACAGGGAAGCATTGTGAGAAACTTCTTTGTGATGTTTGCATTCAACTCACAGAGTTGAAGCTTGCTTTCATAGTTCAGCTTTCAAACACTCTTTTTGTAGAATCTGCAAGTGGATATTTGGACCACTTTGTGGCCTTCCTTCGAAACGGGTATATCTTCACATCAAACCTAGACAGAAGCATTCTCAGAATGTTTCCTGTGATGACTGCATTCAACTCACAGAGGTGAACAATCCTGCTGATGGAGCAGTTTTGAAACTCTCTTTCTTTGGATTCTGCAAGTGGATATGTGGACCTCTGTGAAGATTTCGTTGGAAACGGGTTCATCTTCACAGAAAAACTAAACAGAAGCATTCTCAGAAACTGCTTTGTGATGTTTGTGTTCCACTTAAAGAATTGAACTTTCCTCTTGACAGAGCAGCTCTGAAACCCTCTTTTTCTAGAATCTGCAAGTGGACATTTGGAGGGCTTTGAGGCCTGTGGTGGAAAAGGAAAATCTTCACATAAAAACTTTATGGAAGCATTCTCAGAAACTTCTTTGTGATGATTGCATTCGACTCACAGAGTTGAACATTCCTATAGATAGAGCAGGTTGTAAACAATCTTTTTGTAGAATCTGCGATTGGAGATTTGGACTGCTTTGAGGCCTACTGTAGTAAAGGAAATAACTTCATCTAAAAACCAAACGGAAGCATTCACAGACAATTCTTAGTGATCATTGGATTGAACTAACAGAGCTGAACATTCCTTTAGATGGCGCAGTTTCCAAACCCACTTTCTGTAGAATCTGCAAGTGGATATTTGGACTTCTCTGAGAATTTCGTTGGAAACGGGATAAACTTCCCAGAACTACACGGAAGCATTGTGAGAAACTTCTTTGTGATGTTTGCATTCAACTCACAGAGTTGAACCTTGCTTTCATAGTTCAGCTTTCAAACACTCTTTTTGTAGAATCTGCAAGTGGATATTTGGACCACTTTGTGGCCTTCCTTCGAAACGGGTATATCTTCACATCAAACCTAGACAGAAGCATTCTCAGAATGTTTCCTGTGATGACTGCATTCAACTCACAGAGGTGAACAATCCTGCTGATGGAGCAGTTTTGAAACTCTCTTTCTTTGGATTCTGCAAGTGGATATGTGGACCTCTGTGAAGATTTCGTTGGAAACGGGTTCATCTTCACAGAAAAACTAAACAGGAGCATTCTCAGAAACTGCTTTGTGATGTTTGTGTTCCACTTCAAGAATTGAACTTTCCTCTTGACAGAGCAGCTCTGAAACCCTCTTATTCTAGAATCTGCAAGTGGACATTTGGAGGGCTTTGAGGCCTGTGGTGGAAAAGGAAAATCTTCACATAAAAACTAGATGGAAGCATTCTCAGAAACTACTTTGTGATGATTGCATTCGACTCACAGAGTTGAACATTCCTATAGATAGAGCAGGTTGTAAACAATCTTTTTGTAGAATCTGCGATTGGAGATTTGGACTGCTTTGAGGCCTACTGTAGTAAAGGAAATAACTTCATCTAAAAACCAAACGGAAGCATTCACAGACAATTCTTAGTGATCATTGGATTGAACTAACAGAGCTGAACATTCCTTTAGATGGAGCAGTTTCCAAACACACTTTCTGTAGAATCTGCAAGTGGATATTTGGACTTGTCTGAGGATTTCGTTGGAAACGGGATAAACTTCCCAGAACTACACGGAAGCATTGTGAGAAACTTCTTTGTGGTGTTTGCATTCAACTCACAGAGTTGAACCTTGCTTTCATAGTTCAGCTTTCAAACACTCATTTTGTGGAATCTGCAAGTGGATATTTGGACCACTTTGTGGCCTTCCTTCGAAACGGGTATATCTTCACATCAAACCTAGACAGAAGCATTCTCAGAATGTTTCCTGTGATGACTGCATTCAACTCACAGAGGTGAACAATCCTGCTGATGGAGCAGTTTTGAAACTCTCTTTCTTTGGATTCTGCAAGTGGATATGTGGACCTCTGTGAAGATTTCGTTGGAAACGGGTTCATCTTCACAGAAAAACTAAACAGAAGCATTCACAGAAACTGCTTTGTGATGTTTGTGTTCCACTTCAGGAATTGAACTTTCCTCTTGAAAGAGCAGCTCTGAAACCCTCTTTTTCTAGAATCTGCAAGTGGACATTTGGAGGGCTTTGAGGCCTGTGGGGGAAAAGGAAAATCTTCACATAAAAACTAGATGGAAGCATTCTCAGAAACTACTTTGTGATGATTGCATTCGACTCACAGAGTTGAACATTCCTATAGATAGAGCAGGTTGTAAACAATCTTTTTGTAGAATCTGCGATTGGAGATTTGGACTGCTTTGTGGCCTACTGTAGTAAAGGAAATAACTTCATCTAAAAACCAAACGGAAGCATTCACAGACAGTTCTTAGTGATCATTGGATAGAACTAACAGAGCTGAACATTCCTTTAGATGGAGCAGTTTCCAAACACACTTTCTGTAGAATCTGCAAGTGGATATTTGGACCTCTCTGAGGATTTCGTTGGAAACGGGATAAACTTCCCAGAACTACACGGAAAGCATTGTGAGAAACTTCTTTGTGATGTTTGCATTCAACTCACAGAGTTGAACCTTGCTTTCATAGTTCAGCTTTCAAACACTCTTTTTGTGGAATCTGCAAGTGGATATTTGGACCACTTTGTGGCCTTCCTTCGAAACGGGTATATCTTCACATCAAACCTAGACAGAAGCATTCTCAGAATGTTTCCTGTGATGACTGCATTCAACTCACAGAGGTGAACAATCCTGCTGATGGAGCAGTTTTGAAACTCTCTTTCTTTGGATTCTGCATGTGGATATGTGGACCTCTGTGAAGATTTCGTTGGAAACGGGTTCATCTTCACAGAAAAACTAAACAGAAGCATTCTCAGAAACTGCTTTGTGATGTTTATGTTCCACTTCAGGAATTAAACTTTCCTCTTGACAGAGCAGCTCTGAAACCCTCTTATTCTAGAATCTGCAAGTGGACATTTGGAGGGCTTTGAGGCCTGTGGTGGAAAAGGGAAATCTTCACATAAAAACTAGATGGAAGCATTCTCAGAAACTACTTTGTGATGATTGCATTCGACTCACAGAGTTGAACATTCCTATAGATAGAGCAGGTTGTAAACAATCTTTTTGTAGAATCTGCGATTGGAGATTTGGACTGCTTTGAGGCCTACTGTAGTAAAGGAAATAACTTCATCTAAAAACCAAACGGAAGCATTCACAGACAATTCTTAGTGATCATTGGATTGAACTAACAGAGCTGAACATTCCTTTAGATGGCGCAGTTTCCAAACCCACTTTCTGGAGAATCTGCAAGTGGATATTTGGACTTCTCTGAGGATTTCGTTGGAAACGGGATAAACTTCCCAGAACTACAGGGAAGCATTGTGAGAAACTTCTTTGTGATGTTTGCATTCAACTCACAGAGTTGAACCTTGCTTTCATAGTTCAGCTTTCAAACACTCTTTTTGTAGAATCTGCAAGTGGATATTTGGACCACTTTGTGGCCTTCCTTCGAAACGGGTATATCTTCACATCAAACCTAGACAGAAGCATTCTCAGAATGTTTCCTGTGATGACTGCATTCAACTCACAGAGGTGAACAATCCTGCTGATGGAGCAGTTTTGAAACTCTCTTTCTTTGGATTCTGCAAGTGGATATGTGGACCTCTGTGAAGATTTCGTTGGAAACGGGTTCATCTTCACAGAAAAACTAAACAGAAGCATTCTCAGAAACTGCTTTGTGATGTTTGTGTTCCACTTCAAGAATTGAACTTTCCTCTTGACAGAGCAGCTCTGAAACCCTCTTTTTCTAGAATCTGCAAGTGGACATTTGGAGGGCTTTGAGGCCTGTGGTGGAAAAGGAAACTCTTCTCATAAAAACTAGATGGAAGCATTCTCAGAAACTCCTTTGTGATGATTGCATTCGACTCACAGAGTTGAACATTCCTATAGATAGAGCAGGTTGTAAACAATCTTTTTGTAGAATCTGCGATTGGAGATTTGGACTGCTTTGAGGCCTACTGTAGTAAAGGAAATAACTTCATCTAAAAACCAAACGGAAGCATTCACAGATAATTCTAAGTGATATTGGATTGAACTAACAGAGCTGAACATTCCTTTAGATGGAGCAGTTTCCAAACACACTTTCTGTAGAATCTGCAAGTGGATATTTGTACTTCTCGGAGGATTTCGTTGGAAACGGCATAAACTTATCAGAACTACACGGAAGCATTCTGAGAAACTTCTTTGTGATGTTTGCATTCAACTCACAGAGTTGAACCTTGCTTTCATAGTTCAGCTTTCAAACACTCTTTTTGTAGAATCTGCAAGTGGATATTTGGACCACTTTGTGGCCTTCCTTCGAAACGGGTATATCTTCACATCAAACCTGGACAGAAGCATTCTCAGAATGTTTCCTGTGATGACTGCATTCAACTCACAGAGGTGAACAATCCTGCTGATGGAGCAGTTTTGAAACTCTCTTTCTTTGGATTCTGCAAGTGGATATGTGGACCTCTGTGAAGATTTCGTTGGAAACGGGTTCATCTTCACAGAAAAACTAAACAGGAGCATTCTCAGAAACTGCTTTGTGATGTTTGTGTTCCACTTCAAGAATTGAACTTTCCTCTTGACAGAGCAGCTCTGAAACCCTCTTTTTCTAGAATCTGCAAGTGGACATTTGGAGGGCTTTGAGGCCTGTGGTGGAAAAGGAAAATCTTCACATAAAAACTAGATGGAAGCATTCTCAGAAACTACTTTGTGATGATTGCATTCGACTCACAGAGTTGAACATTCCTATAGATAGAGCAGGTTGTAAACAATGTTTTTGTAGAATCTGCGATTGGAGATTTGGACTGCTTTGAGGCCTACTGTAGTAAAGGAAATAACTTCATCTAAAAACCAAACGGAAGCATTCACAGACAATTCTTAGTGATCATTGCATTGAACTAACAGAGCTGAACATTCCTTTAGATGGCGCAGGTTCCAAACACACTTTCTGTAGAATCTGCAAGTGGATATTTGGACCTCTCTGAGGATTTCGTTGGAAACGGGATAAAATTCCCAGAACTACACGGAAGCATTCTGAGAAACTTCTTTGTGATGTTTGCATTCAACTCACAGAGTTGAACCTTGCTTTCATAGTTCAGCTTTCAAACACTCTTTTTGTAGAATCTGCAAGTGGATATTTGGACCACTTTGTGGCCTTCCTTCGAAACGGGTATATCTTCACATCAAACCTAGACAGAAGCATTCTCAGAATGTTTCCTGTGATGACTGCATTCAACTCACAGAGGTGAAAAATCCTGCTGATGGAGCAGTTTTGAAACTCTCTTTCTTTGGATTCTGCAAGTGGATATGTGGACCTCTGTGAAGATTTCGTTGGAAACGGGTTCATCTTCACAGAAAAAATAAACAGGAGCATTCTCAGAAACTGCTTTGTGATGTTTGTGTTCCACTTCAAGAATTGAACTTTCCTCTTGACAGAGCAGCTCTGAAACCCTCTTTTTCTAGAATCTGCAAGTGGACATTTGGAGGGCTTTGAGGCCTGTGGTGGAAAAGGAAAATCTTCCCATAAAAACTAGATGGAAGCATTCTCAGAAACTCCTTTGTGATGATTGCATTCGACTCACAGAGTTGAACATTCCTATAGATAGAGCAGGTTGTAAACAATCTTTTTGTAGAATCTGCGATTGGAGATTTGGACTGCTTTGAGGCCTACTGTAGTAAAGGAAATAACTTCATCTAAAAACCAAACGGAAGCATTCACAGACAATTCTTAGTGATCATTGGATTGAACTAACAGAGCTGAAAATTCCGTTAGATGGTGCAGTTTCCAAACACACTTTCTGTAGAATCTGCAAGTGGATATTTGGACCTCTCTGAGGATTTCGTTGGAAACGGGATAAGCTTCCCAGAACTACACGGAAGCATTCTGAGAAACTTCTTTGTGATGTTTGCATTCAACTCACAGAGTTGAAACTTGCTTTCATAGTTCAGCTTTCACACACTCTTTTTGTAGAATCTGCAAGTGGATATTTGGACCACTTTGTGGCCTTCCTTCGAAACGGGTATATCTTCACATGAAACCTGGACAGAAGCATTCTCAGAATGTTTCCTGTGATGACTGCATTCACCTCACAGAGGTGAACCATCCTGTTGATGGAGCAGTTTTGAAACTCTCTTTCTTTGGATTCTGCAAGTGGATATGTGGACCTCTGTGAAGATTTCGTTGGAAACGGGTTCATCTTCACAGAAAAACTAAACAGGAGCATTCTCAGAAACTGCTTTGTGATGTTTGTGTTCCACTTCAAGAATTGAACTTTCCTCTTGACAGAGCAGCTCTGAAACCCTCTTCTTCTAGAATCTGCAAGTGGACATTTGGAGGGCTTTGATGCCTGTGGTGGAAAAGGAAAATCTTCACATAAAAACTAGATGGAAGCATTCTCAGAAACTACTTTGTGATGATGGCTTTCGACTCACAGAGTTGAACATTCCTATAGATAGAGCAGGTTGTAAACAATCTTTTTGTAGAATCTGCGATTGGAGATTTGGACTGCTTTGAGGCCTACTGTAGTAAAGGAAATAACTTCATCTAAAAACCAAACGGAAGCATTCACAGACAATTCTTAGTGATCATTGCATTGAACTAACAGAGCTGAACATTCCTTTAGATGGCGCAGATTCCAAACACACTTTCTGTAGAATCTGCAAGTGGATATTTGGACCTCTCTGAGGATTTCGTTGGAAACGGGATAAACTTCCCAGAACTACACGGAAGCATTGTGAGAAACTTCTTTGTGATGTTTGCATTCAACTCACAGAGTTGAACCTTGCTTTCATAGTTCAGCTTTCAAACACTCTTTTTGTAGAATCTGCAAGTGGATATTTGGACCACTTTGTGGCCTTCCTTCGAAACGGGTATATCTTCACATCAAACCTAGACAGAAGCATTCTCAGAATGTTTCCTGTGATGACTGCATTCAACTCACAGAGGTGAACAATCCTGCTGATGGAGCAGTTTTGAAACTCTCTTTCTTTGGATTCTGCAAGTGGATATGTGGACCTCTGTGAAGATTTCGTTGGAAACGGGTTCATCTTCACAGAAAAACTAAACAGGAGCATTCTCAGAAACTGCTTTGTGATGTTTGTGTTCCACTTCTAGAATTGAACTTTCCTCTTGACAGAGCAGCTCTGAAACCCTCTTTTTCTAGAATCTGCAAGTGGACATTTGGAGGGCTTTGAGGCCTGTGGTGGAAAAGGAAAATCTTCACATAAAAACTAGATGGAAGCATTCTCAGAAACTACTTTGTGATGATTGCATTCGACTCACAGAGTTGAACATTCCTATAGATAGAGCAGGTTGAAAACAATCTTTTTGTAGAATCTGCGATTGGAGATTTGGACTGCTTTGAGGCCTACTGTAGTAAAGGAAATAACTTCATCTAAAAACCAAACGGAAGCATTCACAGACAATTCTTAGTGATCATTGGATTGAAGTAACAGAGCTGAACGTTCCTTAAGATGGCGCAGTTTAAAAAACACACTTTCTGTAGAATCTGCAAGTGGATATTTGGACCTCTCTGAGGATTTCGTTGGAAACGGGATAAACTTCCCAGAACTACACGGAAGCATTCTGAGAAACTTCTTTGTGATGGTTGCATTCAACTCACAGGGTTGAACCTTGCTTTCATAGTTCAGCTTTCAAACACTCTTTTTGTAGAATCTGCAAGTGGATATTTGGACCACTTTGTGGCCTTCCTTCGAAACGGGTATATCTTCACATCAAACCTAGACAGAAGCATTCTCAGAATGTTTCCTGTGATGACTGCATTGAACTCACAGTGGTGAACAACCCTGCTGATGGAGCAGTTTTGAAACTCTCTTTCTTTGGATTCTGCAAGTGGGTATGTGGACCTCTGTGAAGATTTCGTTGGAAACGGGTTCATCTTCACAGAAAAACTAAACAGGAGCATTCTCAGAAACTGCTTTGTGATGTTTGTGTTCCACTTCAAGAATTGAACTTTCCTCTTGACAGAGCAGCTCTGAAACCCTCTTTTTCTAGAATCTACAAGTGGACATTTGGAGGGCTTTGAGGCCTGTGGTGGAAAAGGAAAATCTTCACATAAAAACTAGATGGAAGCATTCTCAGAAACTACTTTGTGATGATTGCATTCGACTCACAGAGTTGAACATTCCTATAGATAGAGCAGGTTGTAAACAATCTTTTTGTAGAATCTGCGATTGGAGATTTGGACTGCTTTGAGGCCTACTGTAGTAAAGGAAATAACTTCATCTAAAAACCAAACGGAAGCATTCACAGACAATTCTTAGTGATCATTGCATTGAACTAACAGAGCTGAACATTCCTTTAGATGGCGCAGTTTCCAAACACACTTTCTGTAGAATCTGCAAGTGGATATTTGGACTTCTCTGAGGATTTCGTTGGAAACGGGATAAACTTCCCAGAACTACACGGAAGCATTGTGAGAAACTTCTTTGTGGTGTTTGCATTCAACTCACAGAGTTGAACCTTGCTTTCATAGTTCAGCTTTCAAACACTCTTTTTGTAGAATCTGCAAGTGGATATTTGGACCACTTTGTGGCCTTCCTTCGAAACGGGTATATCTTCACATCAAACCTAGACAGAAGCATTCTCAGAATGTTTCCTGTGATGACTGCATTCAACTCACAGAGGTGAACAATCCTGCTGATGGAGCAGTTTTGAAACTCTCTTTCTTTGGATTCTGCAAGTGGATATGTGGACCTCTGTGAAGATTTCGTTGGAAACGGGTTCATCTTCACAGAAAAACTAAACAGGAGCATTCTCAGAAACTGCTTTGTGATGTTTGTGTTCCACTTCAAGAATTGAACTTTCCTCTTGACAGAGCAGCTCTGAAACCCTCTTTTTCTAGAATCTGCAAGTGGACATTTGGAGGGCTTTGAGGCCTGTGGTGGAAAAGGAAAATCTTCACATAAAAACTAGATGGAAGCATTCTCAGAAACTACTTTGTGATGATTGCATTCGACTCACAGAGTTGAACATTCCTATAGATAGAGCAGGTTGTAAACAATGTTTTTGTAGAATCTGCGATTGGAGATTTGGATTTCTTTGAGGCCTACTGTAGTAAAGGAAATAACTTCATCTAAAAACCAAACGGAAGCATTCACAGACAATTCTTAGTGATCATTGGATTGAACTAACAGAGCTGAACATTCCTTTAGATGGAGCAGTTGCCAAACCCACTTTCTGTAGAATCTGCAAGTGGATATTTGGACTTCTCTGAGGATTTCGTTGGAAACGGGATAAACTTCCCAGAACTACACGGAAGCATTGTGAGAAACTTCTTTGTGATGTTTGCATTCAACTCACAGAGTTGAACCTTGCTTTCATAGTTCAGCTTTCAAACACTCTTTTTGTAGAATCTGCAAGTGGATATTGGGAGGGCTTTGAGGCCTGTGGTGTAAAAGGAAAATCTTCACATAAAAACTAGATGGAAGCATTCTCAGAAACTACTTTGTGATGATTGCATTCGACTCACAGAGTTGAACATTCCTATAGATAGAGCAGGTTGTAAACAATCTTTTTGTAGAATCTGCAATTGGAGATTTGGACTGCTTTGAGGCCTACTGTAGTAAAGGAAATAACTTCATCTAAAAACCAAACGGAAGCATTCACAGACAATTCTTAGTGATCATTGCATTGAACTAACAGAGCTGAACATTCCTTTAGATGGTGCAGTTTCCAAACACACTTTCTGTAGAATCTGCAAGTGGATATGTGGACTTCTCTGAGGATTTCGTTGGAAACGGGATAAACTTCCCAGAACTACACGGAAGCATTCTGAGAAACTTCTTTGTGATGTTTGCATTCAACTCACAGAGTTGAACCTTGCTTTCATAGTTCAGCTTTCAAACACTTTTTTGTAGAATCTGCAAGTGGATATTTGGACCACTTTGTGGCCTTCCTTCGAAACGGGTATATCTTCACATCAAACCTAGACAGAAGCATTCTCAGAATGTTTCCTGTGATGACTGCATTCAACTCACAGAGGTGAACAATCCTGCTGATGGAGCAGTTTTGAAACTCTCTTTCTTTGGATTCTGCAAGTGGATATGTGGACCTGTGTGAAGATTTCGTTGGAAACGGGTTCATCTTCACAGAAAAACTAAACAGAAGCATTCTCAGAAACTGCTTTGTGATGTTTGTGTTCCACTTCAGGAATTGAACTTTCCTCTTGACAGAGCAGCTCTGAAACCCTCTTATTCTAGAATCTGCAAGTGGACATTTGGAGGGCTTTGAGGCCTGTGGTGGAAAAGGAAAATCTTCACATAAAAACTAGATGGAAGCATTCTCAGAAACTACTTTGTGATGATTGCATTCGACTCACAGAGTTGAACATTCCTATAGATAGAGCAGGTTGTAAACAATCTTTTTGTAGAATCTGCGATTGGAGATTTGGACTGCTTTGAGGCCTACTGTAGTAAAGGAAATAACTTCATCTAAAAACCAAACGGAAGCATTCACAGACAATTCTTAGTGATCATTGCATTGAACTAACAGAGCTGAACATTCCTTTAGATGGCGCAGTTTCCAAACACACTTTCTGTAGAATCTGCAAGTGGATATTTGGACCTCTCTGAGGATTTCGTTGGAAACGGGATAAACTTCCCAGAACTACACGGAAGCATTGTGAGAAACTTCTTTGTGATGTTTGCATTCAACTCACAGAGTTGAACCTTGCTTTCATAGTTCAGCTTTCAAACACTCTTTTTGTAGAATCTGCAAGTGGATATTTGGACCACTTTGTGGCCTTCCTTCGAAACGGGTATATCTTCACATCAAACCTAGACAGAAGCATTCTCAGAATGTTTCCTGTGATGACTGCATTCAACTCACAGAGGTGAACAATCCTGCTGATGGAGCAGTTTTGAAACTCTCTTTCTTTGGATTCTGCAAGTGGATATGTGGACCTCTGTGAAGATTTCGTTGGAAACGGGTTCATCTTCACAGAAAAACTAAACAGGAGCATTCTCAGAAACTGCTTTGTGATGTTTGTGTTCCACTTCAAGAATTGAACTTTCCTCTTGACAGAGCAGCTCTGAAACCCTCTTTTTCTAGAATCTGCAAGTGGACATTTGGAGGGCTTTGAGGCCTGTGGTGGAAAAGGAAAATCTTCCCATAAAAACTAGATGGAAGCATTCTCAGAAACTACTTTGTGATGATTGCATTCGACTCACAGAGTTGAACATTCCTATAGATAGAGCAGGTTGTAAACAATCTTTTTGTAGAATCTGCAATTGGAGATTTGGACTGCTTTGAGGCCTACTGTAGTAAAGGAAATAACTTCATCTAAAAACCAAACGGAAGCATTCACAGAAAATTCTTAGTGATCATTGGATTGAACTAACAGAGCTGAACATTCCTTTAGATGGCACAGTTTCCAAACACACTTTCTGTAGAATCTGCAAATGGATATTTGGACCTCTCTGAGGATTTCGTTGGAAAAGGGCTAAACTTCCCAGAACTACACGGAAGGATTCTGAGAAACTTCTTTGTTATGTTTGCATTCAACTCACAGAGTTGAACCTTGCTTTCATAGTTCAGCTTTCAAACACTCTTTTTGTAGAATCTGCAAGTGGATATTTGGACCACTTTGTGGCCTTCCTTCGAAACGGGTATATCTTCACATCAAACCTAGACAGAAGCATTCTCAGAATGTTTCCTGTGATGACTGCATTCAACTCACAGAGGTGAACAATCCTGCTGATGGAGCAGTTTTGAAACTCTCTTTCTTTGGATTCTGCAAGTGGATATGTGGACCTCTGTGAAGATTTCGTTGGAAACGGGTTCATCTTCACAGAAAAACTAAACAGGAGCATTCTCAGAAACTGCTTTGTGATGTTTGTGTTCCACTTCAAGAATTGAACTTTCCTCTTGACAGAGCAGCTCTGAAACCCTCTTTTTCTAGAATCTGCAAGTGGACATTTGGAGGGCATTGAGGCCTGTGGTGGAAAAGGAAAATCTTCACATAAAAACTAGATGGAAGCATTCTCAGAAACTACTTTGTGATGATTGCATTCGACTCACAGAGTTGAACATTCCTATAGATAGAGCAGGTTGTAAACAATGTTTTTGTAGAATCTGCGATTGGAGATTTGGACTGCTTTGAGGCCTACTGTAGTAAAGGAAATAAATTCATCTAAAAACCAAACGGAAGCATTCACAGACAATTCTTAGTGATCATTGGATTGAACTAACAGAGCTGAACATTCCTTTAGATGGAGAAGTTTCCAAACACACTTTCTGCAGAATCTGCAAGTGGATATTTGGACTTCTCTGAGGATTTCGTTGGAAACGGGATAAACTTCCCAGAACTACACGGAAGCATTCTGAGAAACTTCTTTGTGATGTTTGCATTCAACTCACAGAGTTGAACCTTGCTTTCATAGTTCAGCTTTCAAACACTCTTTTTGTAGAATCTGCAAGTGGATATTTGGACCACTTTGTGGCCTTCCTTCGAAACGGGTATATCTTCACATCAAACCTACACAGAAGCATTCTGAGAATGTTTCATGTGATGACTGCATTCAACTCACAGAGGTGAACAATCCTGCTGATGGAGCAGTTTTGAAACTCTCTTTCTTTGGATTCTGCAAGTGGATATGTGGACCTCTGTGAAGATTTCGTTGGAAACGGGTTCATCCTCACAGAAAAACTAAACAGGAGCATTCTCAGAAACTGCTTTGTGATGTTTGTGTTCCACTTCAAGAATTGAACTTTCCTCTTGACAGAGCAGCTCTGAAACCCTCTTATTCTAGAATCTGCAAGTGGACATTTGGAGGGCTTTGAGGCCTGTGGTGGAAAAGGAAAATCTTCACATTAAAACTAGATGGAAGCATTCTCAGAAACTACTTTGTGATGATTGCATTCGACTCACAGAGTTGAACATTCCTATAGATAGAGCAGGTTGTAAACAATCTTTTTGTAGAATCTGCGATTGGAGATTTGGACTGCTTTGAGGCCTACTGTAGTAAAGGAAATAACTTCATCTAAAAACCAAACGGAAGCATTCACAGACAATTCTTAGTGATCATTGGATTGAACTAACAGAGCTGAACATTCCTTTAGATGGAGCAGTTTCCAAACACACTTTCTGTAGAATCTGCAAGTGGATATTTGGACCTCTCTGAGGATTTCGTTGGAAACGGGATAAACTTCCCAGAACTACACGGAAGAATTGTGAGAAACTTCTTTGTGATGTTTGCATTCAACTCACAGAGTTGAACCTTGCTTTCATAGTTCAGCTTTCAAACACTCGTTTTGTAGAATCCGCAAGTGGATGTTTGGACCACTTTGTGGCCTTCCTTCGAAACGGGTATATCTTCACATCAAACCTAGACAGAAGCATTCTCGGAATGTTTCCTGTGATGACTGCATTCAACTCACAGAGGTGAACAATCCTGCTGATGGAGCAGTTTTGAAACTCTCTTTCTTTGGATTCTGCAAGTGGATATGTGGACCTCTGTGAAGATTTCGTTGGAAACGGGTTCATCTTCACAGAAAAACTAAACAGGAGCATTCTCAGAAACTGCTTTGTGATGTTTGTGTTCCACTTCAAGAATTGAACTTTCCTCTTGACAGAGCAGCAATGAAACCCACTTTTTCTAGAATCTGCAAGTGGACATTTGGAGGGCTTTGAGGCCTGTGGTGGAAAAGGAAAATCTTCACATAAAAACTAGATGGAAGCATTCTCAGAAACTACTTTGTGATGATTGCATTCGACTCACAGAGTTGAACATTCCTATAGATAGAGCAGGTTGAAAACAATCTTTTTGTAGAATCTGCGATTGGAGATTTGGACTGCTTTGAGGCCTACTGTAGTAAAGGAAATAACTTCATCTAAAAACCAAACGGAAGCATTCACAGACAATTCTTAGTGATCATTGGATTGAACTAACAGAGCTGAACATTCCTTTAGATGGAGCAGATTCCAAACACACTTTCTGTAGAATCTGCAACTGGATATTTGGACCTCTCTGAGGATTTCGTTGGAAACGGGATAAACTTTCCAGAACTACACGGAAGCATTCTGAGAAACTTCTTTGTGATGTTTGCATTCAACTCACAGAGTTGAACCTTGCTTTCATAGTTCAGCTTTCAAACACTCTTTTTGTAGAATCTGCAAGAGGATATTTGGACCACTTTGTGGCCTTCCTTCGAAACGGGTATATCTTCACATCAAACCTAGACAGAAGCATTCTCAGAATGTTTCTTGTGATGACTGCATTCAACTCACAGAGGTGAACAATCCTGCTGATGGAGCAGTTTTGAAACTCTCTTTCTTTGGATTCTGCAAGTAGATATGTGGACCTCTGTGAAGATTTCGTTGGAAACGGGTTCATCTTCACATAAAAACTAAACAGGAGCATTCTCAGAAACTGCTTTGTGATGTTTGTGTTCCACTTCAAGAATTGAACTTTCCTCTTGACAGAGCAGCTCTGAAACCCTCTTTTTCTAGAATCTGCAAGTGGACATTTGGAGGGCTTTGAGGCCTGTGGTGGAAAAGGAAAATCTTCACATAAAAACGAGATGGAAGCATTCTCAGAAACTACTTTGTGATGATTGCATTCGACTCACAGAGTTGAACATTCCTATAGATAGAGCAGGTTGTAAACAATCTTTTTGTAGAATCTGCGATTGGAGATTTGGACTGCTTTGAGGCCTACTGTAGTAAAGGAAATAACTTCATCTAAAAACCAAACGGAAGCATTCACAGACAATTCTTAGTGATCATTGCATTGAACTAACAGAGCTGAACATTGCTTTAGATGGCGCAGTTTCCAAACACACTTTCTGTAGAATCTGCAAGTGGATATTTGGACCTCTCTGAGGATTTCGTTGGAAACGGGATAAACTTCCCAGAACTACACGGAAGCATGCTGAGAAACTTCTTTGTGATGTTTGCATTCAACTCACAGAGTTGAACCTTGCTTTCATAGTTCAGCTTTCAAACACTCTTTTTGTAGAATCTGCAAGTGGATATTTGGACCACTTTGTGGCCTTCCTTCGAAACGGGTATATCTTCACATCAAACCTAGACAGAAGCATTCTCAGAATGTTTCCTGTGATGACTGCATTCAACTCACAGAGGTGAACAATCCTGTTGATGGAGCAGTTTTGAAACTCTCTTTCCTTGGATTCTGCAAGTTGATATGTGGACCTCTGTGAAGATTTCGTTGGAAACGGGTTCATCTTCACAGAAAAACTAAACAGAAGCATTCTCAGAAACTGCTTTGTGATGTTTGTGTTCCACTTCAGGAATTGAACTTTCCTCTTGACAGAGCAGCTCTGCAACCCTCTTATTCTAGAATCTGCAAGTGGACATTTGGAGGGCTTTGAGGCCTGTGGTGGAAAAGGAAAATCTTCACATAAAAACTAGATGGAAAGCATTCTCAGAAACTACTTTGTGATGATTGCATTCGACTCACAGAGTTGAACATTCCTATAGATAGAGCAGGTTGTAAACAATCTTTTTGTAGAATCTGCGATTGGAGATTTGGACTGCTTTGAGGCCTACTGTAGTAAAGGAAATAACTTCATCTAAAAACCAAACGGAAGCATTCACAGACAATTCTTAGTGATCATTGCATTGAACTAACAGAGCTGAACATTCCTTTAGATGGAGCATTTTCCAAACACACTTTCTGTAGAATCTGCAAGTGGATATTTGGACTTCTCTGAGGATTTCGTTGGAAACGGGATAAACTTCCCAGAACTACACGGAAGCATTGTGAGAAACTTCTTTGTGATGTTTGCATTCAACTCACAGAGTTGAACCTTGCTTTCATAGTTCAGCTTTCAAACACTCTTTTTGTAGAATCTGCAAGTGGATATTTGGACCACTTTGTGGCCTTCCTTTGAAAAGGGTATATCTTCACATCAAACCTAGACAGAAGCATTCTCAGAATGTTTCCTGTGATGACTGCATTCAACTCACAGAGGTGAACAATCCTGCTGATGGAGCAGTTTTGAAACTCTCTTTCTTTGGATTCTGCAAGTGGATATGTGGACCTCTGTGAAGATTTCGTTGGAAACGGGTTCATCTTCACAGAAAAACTAAACAGAAGCATTCTCAGAAACTGCTTTGTGATGTTTGTGTTCCACTTCAGGAATTGAACTTTCCTCTTGACAGAGCAGCTCTGAAACCCTCTTATTCTAGAATCTGCAAGTGGACATTTGGAGGGCTTTGAGGCCTGTGGTGGAAAAGGAAAATCTTCACATAAAAACTAGATGGAAGCATTCTCAGAAACTACTTTGTGATGATTGCATTCGACTCACAGAGTTGAACATTCCTATAGATAGAGCAGGTTGTAAACAATCTTTTTGTAGAATCTGCGATTGGAGATTTGGACTGCTTTGAGGCCTACTGTAGTAAAGGAAATAACTTCATCTAAAAACCAAACGGAAGCATTCACAGACAATTCTTAGTGATCATTGCATTGAACTAACAGAGCTGAACATTCCTTTAGATGGAGCAGTTTCCAAACCCACTTTCTGTAGAATCTGCAAGTGGATATTTGGACTTCTCTGAGGATTTCGTTGGAAACGGGATAAACTTCCCAGAACTACACGGAAGCATTCTGAGAAACTTCTTTCTGATGTTTGCATTCAACTCACAGAGTTGAACCTTGCTTTCATAGTTCAGCTTTCAAACACTCTTTTTGTAGAATCTGCAAGTGGATATTTGGACCACTTTGTGGCCTTCCATCGAAACGGGTATATCTTCACATCAAACCTAGACAGAAGCATTCTCAGAATGTTTCCTGTGATGACTGCATTCAACTCACAGAGGTGAACAATCCTGCTGATGGAGCAGTTTTGAAACTCTCTTTCTTTGGATTCTGCAAGTGGATATGTGGACCTCTGTGAAGATTTCGTTGGAAACGGGTTCATCTTCACAGAAAAACTAAACAGAAGCATTCTCAGAAACTGCTTTGTGATGTTTGTGTTCCACTTCAAGAATTGAACTTTCCTCTTGACAGAGCAGCTCTGAAACCCTCTTTTTCTAGAATCTGCAAGTGGACATTTGGAGGGCTTTGAGGCCTGTGGTGGAAAAGGAAAATCTTCACATAAAAACTAGATGGAAGCATTCTCAGAAACTACTTTGTGATGATTGCATTCGACTCACAGAGTTGAACATTCCTATAGATAGAGCAGGTTGTAAACAATCTTTTTGTAGAATCTGCGATTGGAGATTTGGACTGCTTTGAGGCCTACTGTAGTAAAGGAAATAACTTCATCTAAAAACCAAACGGAAGCATTCACAGACAATTCTTAGTGATCATTGGATTGAACTAACAGAGCTGAACATTCCTTTAGATGGAGCATTTTCCAAACACACTTTCTGTAGAATCTGCAAGTGGATATTTGGACTACTCTGAGGATTTCGTTGGAAAAGGGATAAACTTCCCAGAACTACATGGAAGCATTCTGAGAAACTTCTTTGTGATGTTTGCATTCAACTCACAGAGTTGAACCTTGCTTTCATAGTTCAGCTTTCAAACACTATTTTTGTAGAATCTGCAAGTGGATATTTGGACCACTTTGTGGCCTTCCTTCGAAACGGGTATATCTTCACATCAAACACAGACAGAAGCATTCTCAGAATGTTTCCTGTGATGACTGCATTCAACTCACAGAGGTGAACAATCCTGTTGATGGAGCACTTTTGAAACTCTCTTTCTTTGGATTCTGCAAGTTGATATGTGGACCTCTGTGAAGATTTCGTTGGAAACGGGTTCATCTTCACAGAAAAACTAAACAGAAGCATTCTCAGAAACTGCTTTGTGATGTTTGTGTTCCACTTCAGGAATTGAACTTTCCTCTTGACAGAGCAGCTCTGAAACCCTCTTTTTCTAGAATCTGCAAGTGGACATTTGGAGGGCTTTGAGGCCTGTGGTGGAAAAGGAAAATCTTCACATAAAAACTAGATGGAAGCATTCTCAGAAACTACTTTGTGATGATTGCATTCGACTCACAGAGTTGAACATTCCTATAGATAGAGCAGGTTGTAAACAATCTTTTTGTAGAATCTGCGATTGGAGATTTGGACTGCTTTGAGGCCTACTGTAGTAAAGGAAATAACTTCATCTAAAAACCAAACGGAAGCATTCACAGACAATTCTTAGTGATCATTTCATTGATCTAACAGAGCTGAACATTCCTTTAGATGGCGTAGTTTCCAAACAAACTTTCTGTAGAATCTGCAAGTGGATATTTGGACCTCTCTGAGGATTTCGTTGGAAACGGGATAAACTTCTCAGAACTACACGGAAGCATTCTGAGAAACTTCTTTGTGATGTTTGCATTCAACTCACAGAGTTGAACCTTGCTTTCATAGTTCAGCTTTCAAACACTCTTTTTGTAGAATCTGCAAGTGGATATTTGGACCACTTTGTGGCCTTCCTTCGAAACGGGTATATCTTCACATCAAACCTAGACAGAAGCATTCTCAGAATGTTTCCTGTGATGACTGCATTCAACTCACAGAGGTGAACAATCCTGCTGTTGGAGCAGTTTTGAAACTCTCTTTCTTTGGATTCTGCAAGTGGATATGTGGACCTCTGTGAAGATTTCGTTGGAAACGGGTTCATCTTCACAGAAAAACTAAACAGGAGCATTCTCAGAAACTGCTTTGTGATGTTTGTGTTCCACTTCAAGAATTGAACTTTCCTCTTGACAGAGCAGCTCTGAAACCCTCTTTTTCTAGAATCTGCAAGTGGACATTTGGAGGGCTTTGAGGCCTGTGGTGGAAAAGGAAAATCTTCACATAAAAACTAGATGGAAGCATTCTCAGAAACTACTTTGTGATGATTGCATTCGACTCACAGAGTTGAACATTCCTATAGATAGAGCAGGTTGTAAACAATCTTTTTGTAGAATCTGCGATTGGAGATTTGGACTGCTTTGAGGCCTACTGTAGTAAAGGAAATAACTTCATCTAAAAACCAAACGGAAGCATTCACAGACAATTCTTAGTGATCATTGGATTGAACTAACAGAGCTGAACATTCCTTTAGATGGAGCAGTTTCCAAACACACTTTCTGTAGAATCTGCAAGTGGATATTTGGACTTCTCTGAGGATTTCCTTGGAAACGGGATAAACTTCCCAGAACTACACGGAAGCATTCTGAGAAACTTCTTTGTGATGTTTGCATTCAACTCACAGAGTTGAACCTTGCTTTCTTAGTTCAGCTTTCAAACACTCTTTTTGTAGAATCTGCAAGTGGATATTTGGACCACTTTGTGGCCTTCCTTCGAAACGGGTATATCTTCACATCAAACCTAGACAGAAGCATTCTCAGAATGTTTCCTGTGATGACTGCATTCAACTCACAGAGGTGAACAATCCTGTTGATGGAGCAGTTTTGAAACTCTCTTTCTTTGGATTCTGCAAGTGGATATGTGGACCTCTGTGAAGATTTGGTTGGAAACGGGTTCATCTTCACAGAAAAACTAAACAGAAGCATTCTCAGAAACTGTTTTGTGATGTTTGTGTTCCACTTCAAGAATTGAACTTTCCTCTTGACAGAGCAGCTCTGAAACCCTCTTTTTCTAGAATCTGCAAGTGGACATTTGGAGGGCTTTGAGGCCTGTGGTGGAAAAGGAAAATCTTCACATAAAAACTAGATGGAAGTATTCTCAGAAATTACTTTGTGATGATTGCATTCGACTCACAGAGTTGAACATTCCTATAGATAGAGCAGGTTGTAAACAATCTTTTTGTAGAATCTGCGATTGGAGATTTGGACTGCTTTGAGGCCTACTGTAGTAAAGGAAATAACTTCATCTAAAAACCAAACGGAAGCATTCACAGACAATTCTTAGTGATCATTGGATTGAACTAACAGAGCTGAACATTCCCTTAGATGGCGCAGTTTCCAAACACACTTTCTGTAGAATCTGCAAGTGGATATTTGGACCTCTCTGAGGATTTCGTTGGAAACGGGATAAACTTCCCAGAACTACACGGAAGCATTCTGAGAAACTTCTTTGTGATGTTTGCATTCAACTCACAGAGTTGAACCTTGCTTTCATAGTTCAGCTTTCAAACACTCTTTTTGTAGAATCTGCAAGTGGATATTTGGACCACTCTGTGGCCTTCCTTCGAAACGGGTATATCTTCACATCAAACCTAGACAGAAGCATTCTCAGAATGTTTCCTGTGATGACTGCATTCAACTCACAGAGGTGAACAATCCTGTTGATGGAGCCGTTTTGAAACTCCCTTTCTTTTGATTCTGCAAGTGGATATGTGGACCTCTGTGAAGATTTCGTTGGAAACGGGTTCATCTTCACAGAAAAATTAACAGGAGCATTCTCAGAAACTGCTTTGTGATGTTTGTGTTCCACTTGAAGAATTGAACTTTCCTTTTGACAGAGCAGCTCTGAAATCCTCTTTTTCTAGAATCTGCAAGTGGACATTTGGAGGGCTTTGAGGCCTGTGGTGGAAAAGGAAAATCTTCCCATAAAAACTAGATGGAAGCATTCTCAGAAACTACTTTGTGATGATTGCATTCGACTCACAGAGTTGAACATTCCTATAGATAGAGCAGGTTGTAAACAATCTTTTTGTAGAATCTGCGATTGGAGATTTGGACTGCTTTGAGGCCTACTGTAGTAAAGGAAATAACTTCATCTAAAAACCAAACGGAAGCATTCACAGACAATTCTTAGTGATCATTGCATTGATCTAACAGAGCTGAACATTCCTTTAGATGGCGTAGTTTCCAAACACACTTTCTGTAGAATCTGCAAGTGGATATTTGGACCTCTCTGAGGATTTCGTTGGAAACGGGATAAACTTCCCAGAACTACACGGAAGCATTCTGAGAAACTTCTTTGTGATGTTTGCATTCAACTCACAGAGTTGAACCTTGCTTTCATAGTTCAGCTTTCAAACACTCTTTTTGTAGAATCTGCAAGTGGATATTTGGACCACTTTGTGGCCTTCCTTCGAAACGGGTATATCTTCACATCAAACCTAGACAGAAGCATTCTCAGAATGTTTCCTGTGATGACTGCATTCAACTCACAGAGGTGAACAATCCTGTTGATGGAGCACTTTTGAAACTCTCTTTCTTTGGATTCTGCAAGTTGATATGTGGACCTCTGTGAAGATTTCGTTGGAAACGGGTTCATCTTCACAGAAAAACTAAACAGAAGCATTCTCAGAAACTACTTTGTGATGTTTGTGTTCCACTTCAAGAATTGAACTTTCCTCTTGACAGAGCAGCTCTGAAACCCTCTTTTTCTAGAATCTGCAAGTGGACATTTGGAGGGCTTTGAGGCCTGTGGTGGAAAAGGAAAATCTTCACATAAAAACTAGATGGAAGCATTCTCAGAAACTACTTTGTGATGATTGCATTCGACTCACAGAGTTGAACATTCCTATAGATAGAGCAGGTTGTAAACAATCTTTTTGTAGAATCTGCGATTGGAGATTTGGACTGCTTTGAGGCCTACTGTAGTAAAGGAAATAACTTCATCTAAAAACCAAACGGAAGCATTCACAGACAATTCTTAGTGATCATTGGATTGAACTAACAGAGCTGAACATTCCTTTAGATGGAGCAGTTTCCAAACACACTTTCTGTAGAATCTGCAAGTGGATATTTGGACCTCTCTGAGGATTTCGTTGGAAACGGGATAAACTTCCCAGAACTACACGGAAGCATTGTGAGAAACTTCTTTGTGATGTTTGCATTCAACTCACAGAGTTGAACCTTGCTTTCATAGTTCAGCTTTCAAACACTCTTTTTGTAGAATCTGCAAGTGGATATTTGGACCACTTTGTGGCCTTCCTTCGAAACGGGTATATCTTCACATCAAACCTAGACAGAAGCATTCTCAGAATGTTTCCTGTGATGACTGCATTCAACTCACAGAGGTGAACAATCCTGCTGATGGAGCAGTTTTGAAACTCTCTTTCTTTGGATTCTGCAAGTGGATATGTGGACCTCTGTGAAGATTTCGTTGGAAACGGGTTCATCTTCACAGAAAAACTAAACAGAAGCATTCTCAGAAACTGCTTTGTGATGTTTGTGTTCCACTTCAAGAATTGAACTTTCCTCTTGACAGAGCAGCTCTGAAACCCTCTTTTTCTAGAATCTGCAAGTGGACATTTGGAGGGCTTTGAGGCCTGTGGTGGAAAAGGAAAATCTTCACATAAAAACTAGATGGAAGCATTCTCAGAAACTACTTTGTGATGATTGCATTCGACTCACAGAGTTGAACATTCCTATAGATAGAGCAGGTTGTAAACAATGTTTTTGTAGAATCTGCGATTGGAGATTTGGACTGCTTTGAGGCCTACTGTAGTAAAGGAAATAACTTCATCTAAAAACCAAACGGAAGCATTCACAGACAATTCTTAGTGATCATTGCATTGAACTAACAGAGCTGAACTTTCCTTTAGATGGCGCAGTTTCCAAACACACTTTCTGTAGAATCTGCAAGTGGATATTTGGACCTCTCTGAGGATTTCGTTGGAAACGGGATATACTTCCCAGAACCACACGGAAGCATTGTGAGAAACTTCTTTGTGATGTTTGCATTCAACTCACAGAGTTGAACCTTGCTTTCATAGTCCAGCTTTCAAACACTCTTTTTGTAGAATCTGCAAGTGGATATTTGGACCACTTTGTGGCCTTCCTTCGAAACGGGTATATCTTCACATCAAACACAGACAGAAGCATTCTCAGAATGTTTCCTGTGATGACTGCATTCAACTCACAGAGGTGAACAATCCTGTTGATGGAGCACTTTTGAAACTCTCTTTCTTTGGATTCTGCAAGTTGATATGTGGACCTCTGTGAAGATTTCGTTGGAAACGGGTTCATCTTCACAGAAAAACTAAACAGAAGCATTCTCAGAAACTGCTTTGTGATGTTTGTGTTCCACTTCAGGAATTGAACTTTCCTCTTGACAGAGCAGCTCTGAAACCCTCTTTTTCTAGAATCTGCAAGTGGATATTTGGAGGGCTTTGAGGCCTGTGGTGGAAAAGGAAAATCTTCACATAAAAACTAGATGGAAGCATTCTCAGAAACTACTTTGTGATGATTGCATTCGACTCACAGAGTTGAACATTCCTATAGATAGAGCAGGTTGTAAACAATCTTTTTGTAGAATCTGCGATTGGAGATTTGGACTGCTTTGAGGCCTACTGTAGTAAAGGAAATAACTTCATCTAAAAACCAAACGGAAGCATTCACAGACAATTCTTAGTGATCATTGGATTGAACTAACAGAGCTGAACATTCCTTTAGATGGAGCAGTTTCCAAACCCACTTTCTGTAGAATCTGCAAGTGGATATTTGGACTTCTCTGAGGATTTCGTTGGAAACGGGATAAACTTCCCAGAACTACACGGAAGCATTGTGAGAAACTTCTTTGTGATGTTTGCATTCAACTCACAGAGTTGAACCTTGCTTTCATAGTTCAGCTTTCAAACACTCTTTTTGTAGATTCTGCAAGTGGATATTTGGACCACTTTGTGGCCTTCCTTCGAAACGGGTATATCTTCACATCAAACCTAGACAGAAGCATTCTCAGAATGTTTCCTGTGATGACTGCATTCAACTCACAGAGGTGAACAATCCTGCTGATGGAGCAGTTTTGAAACTCTCTTTCTTTGGATTCTGCAAGTGGATATGTGGACCTCTGTGAAGATTTCGTTGGAAACGGGTTCATCTTCACAGAAAAACTAAACAGGAGCATTCTCAGTAAACTGCTTTGTGATGTTTGTGTTCCACTTCAAGAATTGAACTTTCCTCTTGACAAAGTAGCTCTGAAACCCTCTTTTTCTAGAACCTGCAAGTGGACATTTGGAGGGCTTTGAGGCCTGTGGTGGAAAAGGAAAATCTTCACATAAAAACTAGATGGAAGCATTCTCAGAAACTACTTTGTGATGATTGCATTCGACTCACAGAGTTGAACATTCCTATAGATAGAGCAGGTTGTAAACAATCTTTTTGTAGAATCTGCGATTGGAGATTTGGACTGCTTTGAGGCCTACTGTAGTAAAGGAAATAACTTCATCTAAAAACCAAACGGAAGCATTCACAGACAATTCTTAGTGATCATTGCATTGAACTAACAGAGCTGAACATTCCTTTAGATGGAGCATTTTCCAAACACACTTTCTGTAGAATCTGCAAGTGGATATTTGGACTTCTCTGAGGATTTCGTTGGAAACGGGATAAACTTCCCAGAACTACACGGAAGCATTGTGAGAAACTTCTTTGTGATGTTTGCATTCAACTCACAGAGTTGAACCTTGCTTTCATAGTTCAGCTTTCAAACACTCTTTTTGTAGAATCTGCAAGTGGATATTTGGACCACTTTGTGGCCTTCCTTCGAAACGGGTATATCTTCACATCAAACCTAGACAGAAGCATTCTCAGAATGTTTCCTGTGATGACTGCATTCAACTCACAGAGCTGAACAATCCTGTTGATGTAGCACTTTTGAAACTCTCTTTCTTTGGATTCTGCAAGTTGATATGTGGACCTCTGTGAAGATTTCGTTGGAAACGGGTTCATCTTCACAGAAAAACTAAACAGAAGCATTCTCAGAAACTGCTTTGTGATGTTTGTGTTCCACTTCAGGAATTGAACTTTCCTCTTGACAGAGCAGCTCTGAAACCCTCTTATTCTAGAATCTGCAAGTGGACATTTGGAGGGCTTTGAGGCCTGTGGTGGAAAAGGAAAATCTTCACATAAAAACTAGATGGAAGCATTCTCAGAAACTACTTTGTGATGATTGCATTCGACTCACAGAGTTGAACATTCCTATAGATAGAGCAGGTTGTAAACAATCTTTTTGTAGAATCTGCGATTGGAGATTTGGACTGCTTTGAGGCCTACTGTAGTAAAGGAAATAACATCATCTAAAAACCAAACGGAAGCATTCACAGACAATTCTTAGTGATCATTGCATTGAACTAACAGAGCTGAACATTCCTTTAGATGGAGCAGTTTCCAAACACACTTTCTGTAGAATCTGCAAGTGGATATTTGGACTTCTCTGAGGATTTCGTTGGAAACGGGATAAACTTCCCAGAACTACACGGAAGCATTCTGAGAAACTTCTTTGTGATGTTTGCATTCAACTCACAGAGTTGAACCTTGCTTTCATAGTTCAGCTTTCAAACACTCTTTTTGTAGAATCTACAGAAAGTGGATATTTGGACCACTTTGTGGCCTTCCTTCGAAACGGGTATATCTTCACATCAAACCTAGACAGAAGCATTCTCAGAATGTTTCCTGTGATGACTGCATTCAACTCACAGAGGTGAACAATCCTGGTGATGGAGCAGTTTTGAAACTCTCTTTCTTTGGATTCTGCAAGTGGATATGTGGACCTCTGTGAAGATTTCGTTGGAAACGGGTTCATCTTCCCAGAAAAACTAAACAGAAGCATTCTCAGAAACTGCTTTGTGAAGTTTGTGTTCCACTTCAGGAATTGAACTTTCCTCTTGACAGAGCAGCTCTGAAACCCTCTTATTCTAGAATCTGCAAGTGGACATTTGGAGGGCTTTGAGGCCTGTGGTGGAAAAGGAAAATCTTCACATAAAAACTAGATGGAAGCATTCTCAGAAACTACTTTGTGATGATTGCATTCGACTCACAGAGTTGAACATTCCTATAGATAGAGCAGGTTGTAAACAATCTTTTTGTAGAATCTGCGATTGGAGATTTGGACTGCTTTGAGGCCTACTGTAGTAAAGGAAATAACTTCATCTAAAAACCAAACGGAAGCATTCACAGACAATTCTTAGTGATCATTGGATTGAACTAACAGAGCTGAACATTCCCTTAGAGGGCGCAGTTTCCAAACACACTTTCTGTAGAATCTGCAAGTGGATATTTGGACCTCTCTGAGGATTTCGTTGGAAACGGGATAAACTTCCCAGAACTACACGGAAGCATTCTGAGAAACTTCTTTGGATGTTTGCATTCAACTCACAGAGTTGAACCTTGCTTTCATAGTTCAGCTTTCAAACACTCTTTTTGTAGAATCTGCAAGTGGATATTTGGACCACTTTGTGGCCTTCCTTCGAAACGGGTATATCTTCACATGAAACATAGACAGAAGCATTCTCAGAATGTTTCCTGTGACGACTGCATTCAACTCACTGAGGTGAACAATCCTGCTGATGGAGCAGTTTTGAAACTCTCTTTCTTTGGATTCTGCAAGTGGATATGTGGACCTCTGTGAAGATTTCGTTGGAAACGGGTTCATCTTCACAGAAAAACTAAACAGGAGCATTCTCAGAAACTACTTTGTGATGTTTGTGTTCCACTTCAGGAATTGAACTTTCCTCTTGACAGAGCAGCTCTGAAACCCTCTTTTTCTAGAATCTGCAAGTGGACATTTGGAGGGCTTTGAGGCCTGTGGTGGAAAAGGAAAATCTTCCCATAAAAACTAGATGGAAGCATTCTCACAAACTACTTTGTGATGATTGCATTCGACTCACAGAGTTGAACATTCCTATAGATAGAGCAGGTTGTAAACAATCTTTTTGTAGAATCTGCGATTGGAGATTTCGACTGCTTTGAGGCCTACTGTAGTAAAGGAAATAACTTCATCTAAAAACCAAACGGGAAGCATTCACAGACAATTCTTAGTGATCATTGCATTGAACTAACAGAGCTGAACATTCCTTTAGATGGCGCAGTTTCCAAACACACTTTCTGTAGAATCTGCAAGTGGATATTTGGACCTCTCTGAGGATTTCGTTGGAAACGGGATAAACTTCCCAGAACTACACGGAAGCATTCTGAGAAACTTCTTTGTGATGTTTCCATTCAACTCATAGAGTTGAACCTTGCTTTCATAGTTCAGCTTTCAAACACTCTTTTTGTAGAATCTGCAAGTGGATATTTGGACCACTTTGTGGCCTTCCTTCGAAACGGGTATATCTTCACATCAAACCTAGACAGAAGCATTCTCAGAATGTTTCCTGTGATGACTGCATTCAACTCACAGAGGTGAACAATTCTGCTGATGGAGCAGTTTTGAAACTCTCTTTCTTTGGATTCTGCAAGTAGATATGTGGACCTCTGTGAAGATTTCGTTGGAAACGGGTTCATCTTCACAGAAAAACTAAAAAGAAGCATTCTCAGAAACTGCTTTGTGATGTTTGTGTTCCACTTCAGGAATTCAACTTTCCTCTTGACAGAGCAGCTCTGAAACCCTCTTATTCTAGAATCTGCAAGTGGACATTTGGAGGGCTTTGAGGCCTGTGCTGGAAAAGGAAAATCTTCACATAATAACTAGATGGAAGCATTCTCAGAAACTACTTTGTGATGATTGCATTCGACTCACAGAGTTGAACATTCCTATACATAGAGCAGGTTGTAAACAATCTTTTTGTAGAATCTGCGATTGGAGATTTGGACTGCTTTGAGGCCTACTGTAGTAAAGGAAATAACTTCATCTAAAAACCAAACGGAAGCATTCACAGACAATTCTTAGTGATCATTGCATTGAACTAACAGAGCTGAACATTCCTTTAGATGGCGCAGTTTCCAAACACACTTTCTGTAGAATCTGCAAGTGGATATTTGGACCTCTCTGAGGATTTCGTTGGAAACGGGATAAACTTCCCAGAACTACACGGAAGCATTGTGAGAAACTTCTTTGTGATGTTTGCATTCAACTCACAGAGTTGAACCTTGCTTTCATAGTTCAGCTTTCAAACACTCTTTTTGTAGAATCTGCAAGTGGATATTTGGACCACTTTGTGGCCTTCCTTCGAAACGGGTATATCTTCACATCAAACCTAGACAGAAGCATTCTCAGAATGTTTCCTGTGATGACTGCATTCAACTCACAGAGGTGAACAATCCTGCTGATGGAGCAGTTTTGAAACTCTCTTTCTTTGGATTCTGCAAGTGGATATGTGGACCTCTGTGAAGATTTCGTTGGAAACGGGTTCATCTTCACAGAAAAACTAAACAGAAGCATTCTCAGAAACTGCTTTGTGATGTTTGTGTTCCACTTCAGGAATTGAACTTTCCTCTTGACAGAGCAGCTCTGAAACCCTCTTATTCTAGAATCTGCAAGTGGACATTTGGAGGGCTTTGAGGCCTGTGGTGGAAAAGGAAAATCTTCACATAAAAACTAGATGGAAGCATTCTCAGAAACTACTTTGTGATGATTGCATTCGACTCACAGAGTTGAACATTCCTATAGATAGAGCAGGTTGTAAACAATCTTTTTGTAGAATCTGCGATTGGAGATTTGGACTGCTTTGAGGCCTACTGTAGTAAAGGAAATAACTTCATCTAAAAACCAAACGGAAGCATTCACAGACAATTCTTAGTGATCATTGCATTGAACTAACAGAGCTGAACATTCCTTTAGATGGCGCAGTTTCCAAACACACTTTCTGTAGAATCTGCAAGTGGATATTTGGACTTCTCTGAGGATTTCGTTGGAAACGGGATAAACTTCCCAGAACTACACGGAAGCATTGTGAGAAACTTCTTTGTGATGTTTGCATTCAACTCACAGAGTTGAACCTTGCTTTCATAGTTCAGCTTTCAAACACTCTTTTTGTAGAATCTGCAAGTGGATATTTGGACCACTTTGTGGCCTTCCTTCGAAACGGGTATATCTTCACATCAAACCTAGACAGAAGCATTCTCAGAATGTTTCCTGTGATGACTGCATTCAACTCACAGAGGTGAACAATCCTGCTGATGGAGCAGTTTTGAAACTCTCTTTCTTTGGATTCTGCAAGTGGATATGTGGACCTCTGTGAAGATTTCGTTGGAAACGGGTTCATCTTCACAGAAAAACTAAACAGGAGCATTCTCAGAAACTGCTTTGTGATGTTTGTGTTCCACTTCAAGAATTGAACTTTCCTCTTGACAGAGCAGCTCTGAAACCCTCTTTTTCTAGAATCTGCAAGTGGACATTTGGAGGGCTTTGAGGCCTGTGGTGGAAAAGGAAAATCTTCCCATAAAAACTAGATGGAAGCATTCTCAGAAACTACTTTGTGATGATTGCATTCGACTCACAGAGTTGAACATTCCTATAGATAGAGCAGGTTGTAAACAATGTTTTTGTAGAATCTGCGATTGGAGATTTGGACTGCTTTGAGGCCTACTGTAGTAAAGGAAATAACTTCATCTAAAAACCAAACGGAAGCATTCACAGACAATTCTTAGTGATCATTGGATTGAGCTAACAGAGCTGAACATTCCTTTAGATGGAGCAGTTTCCAAACACACTTTCTGCAGAATCTGCAAGTGGATATTTGGACTTCTCTGAGGATTTCGTTGGAAACGGGATAAACTTCCCAGAACTACACGGAAGCATTGTGAGAATCATATTTCTGATGTTTGCATTCAACTCACAGAGTTGAACCTTGCTTTCATAGTTCAGCTTTCAAACACTCTTTTTGTAGAATCTGCAAGTGGATATTTGGACCACTTTGTGGCCTTCCTTTGAAACGGGTACATCTTCACATCAAACCTAGACAGAAGCATTCTCAGAATGTTTCCTGTGATGACTGCATTCAACTCACAGAGGTGAACAATCCTGCTGATGGAGCAGTTTTGAAACTCTCTTTCTTTGGATTCTGCAAGTGGATATGTGGACCTCTGTGAAGATTTCGTTGGAAACGGGTTCATCTTCACAGAAAAACTAAACAGGAGCATTCTCAGAAACTGCTTTGTGATGTTTGTGTTCCACATCAAGAATTGAACTTTCCTCTTGACAGAGCAGCTCTGAAACCCTCTTTTTCTAGAATCTGCAAGTGGACATTTGGAGGGCTTTGAGGCCTGTGGTGCAAAAGGAAAATCTTCACATAAAAACTAGATGGAAGCATTCTCAGAAACTACTTTGTGATGATTGCATTCGACTCACAGAGTTGAACATTCCTATAGATAGAGCAGGTTGTAAACAATCTTTTTGTAGAATCTGCGATTGGAGATTTGGACTGCTTTGAGGCCTACTGTAGTAAAGGAAATAACTTCATCTAAAAACCAAACGGAAGCATTCACAGACAATTCTTAGTGATCATTGCATTGATCTAACAGAGCTGAACATTCCTTTAGATGGCGTAGTTTCCAAACACACTTTCTGTAGAATCTGCAAGTGGATATTTGGACCTCTCTGAGGATTTCGTTGGAAAAGGGATAAACTTCCCAGAACTACACGGAAGCATTCTGAGAAACTTCTTTGTGATGTTTGCATTCAACTCACAGAGTTGAACCTTGCTTTCATAGTTCAGCTTTCAAACACTCTTTTTGTAGAATCTGCAAGTGGATATTTGGACCACTTTGTGGCCTTCCTTCGAAACGGGTATATCTTCACATCAAACCTAGACAGAAGCATTCTCAGAATGTTTCCTGTGATGACTGCATTCAACTCACAGAGGTGAACAATCCTGCTGATGGAGCAATTTTGAAACTCCCTTTCTTTGGATTCTGCAAGTGGATATGTGGACCTCTGTGAAGATTTCGTTGGAAACGAGTTCATCTTCACAGAAAAACTAAACAGAAGCATTCTCAGAAACTGCTTTGTGATGTTTGTGTTCCACTTCAGGAATTGAACTTTCCTCTTGACAGAGCAGCTCTGAAACCCTCTTATTCTAGAATCTGCAAGTGGACATTTGGAGGGCTTTGAGGCCTGTGGTGGAAAAGGAAAATCTTCACATAAAAACTAGATGGAAGCATTCTCAGAAACTACTTTGTGATGATTGCATTCGACTCACAGAGTTGAACATTCCTATAGATAGAGCAGGTTGTAAACAATCTTTTTGTAGAATCTGCGATTGGAGATTTGGACTGCTTTGAGGCCTACTGTAGTAAAGGAAATAACTTCATCTAAAAACCAAACGGAAGCATTCACAGACAATTCTTAGTGATCATTGGATTGAACTAACAGAGCTGAACATTCCTTTAGATGGAGCAGTTTCCAAACACACTTTCTGTAGAATCTGCAAGTGGATATTTGGACTTCTCTGAGGATTTCGTTGGAAACGGGATAAACTTCCCAGAACTACACGGAAGCATTCTGAGAAACTTCTTTGTGATGTTTGCATTCAACTCACAGAGTTGAACCTTGCTTTCATAGTTCAGCTTTCAAACACTCTTTTTGTAGAATCTGCAAGTGGATATTTGGACCACTTTGTGGCCTTCCTTCGAAACGGGTATATCTTCACATCAAACCTAGACAGAAGCATTCTCAGAATGTTTCCTGTGATGACTGCATTCAACTCACAGAGGCGAACAATCCTGTTGATGGAGCAGTTTTGAAACTCTCTTTCTTTGGATTCTGCAAGTGGATATGTGGACCTCTGTGAAGATTTCGTTGGAAACGGGTTCATCTTCACAGAAAAACTAAACAGGAGCATTCTCAGAAACTGCTTTGTGATGTTTGTGTTCCACTTCAAGAATTGAACTTTCCTCTTGACAGAGCAGCTCTGAAACCCACTTTTTCTAGAATCTGCAAGTGGACATTTGGAGGGCTTTGAGGCCTGTGGTGGAAAAGGAAAATCTTCACATAAAAACTAGATGGAAGCATTCTCAGAAACTACTTTGTGATGATTGCATTCGACTCACAGAGTTGAACATTCCTATAGATAGAGCAGGTTGTAAACAATCTTTTTGTAGAATCTGCGATTGGAGATTTGGACTGCTTTGAGGTCTACTGTAGTAAAGGGAATAACTTCATCTAAAAACCAAACGGAAGCATTCACAGACAATTCTTAGTGAT
Organism: Homo sapiens; assembly: GCF_000001405.40. Lineage (NCBI taxonomy): Eukaryota > Metazoa > Chordata > Mammalia > Primates > Hominidae > Homo > Homo sapiens. Next base: position 51,266,125 of record NC_000011.10, read on the forward strand.
CATTGGATTGAACTAACAGAGCTGAACATTCCTTTAGATGGAGCAGTTTCCAAACACACTTTCTGTAGAATCTGCAAGTGGATATTTGGACCTCTCTGAGGATTTCGTTGGAAACGGGATAAACTTCCCAGAACTACACGGAAGCATTCTGAGAATCTTCTTTGTGATGTTTGCATTCAACTCACAGAGTTGAACATGGCTTTCATATTTCAGCTTTCAAACACTCTTTTTGTAGAATCTGCAAGTGGATATTAGGACCACTTTGTGGCCTTCTTTCGAAAGGGGTATATCTTCACATCAAACCTAGACAGAAGCATTCTCAGAATGTTTCCTGTGATGACTGCATTCAACTCACAGAGGTGAACAATCCTGCTGATGGAGCAGTTTTGAAACTCTCTTTCTTTGGATTCTGCAAGTGGATATGTGGACCTCTGTGAAGATTTCGTTGGAAACGGGTTCATCTTCACAGAAAAACTAAACAGGAGCATTCTCAGAAACTGCTTTGTGATGTTTGTGTTCCACTTCAAGAATTGAACTTTCCTCTTGACAGAGCAGCTCTGAAACCCTCTTTTTCTAGAATCTGCAAGTGGACATTTGGAGGGCTTTGAGGCCTGTGGTGGAAAAGGAAAATCTTCCCATAAAAACTAGATGGAAGCATTCTCAGAAACTACTTTGTGATGATTGCATTCGACTCACAGAGTTGAACATTCCTATAGGTAGAGCAGGTTGTAAACAATCTTTTTGTAGAATCTGCGATTGGAGATTTGGAGTGCTTTGGGGCCTACTGTAGTAAAGGAAAAAACTTCATCTAAAAACCAAACGGGAAAGCATTCACAGACAATTCTTAGTGATCATTGGATTGAACTAACAGAGCTGAACATTCCTTTAGATGGCGCAGTTTCCAAACACACTTTCTGTAGAATCTGCAAGTGGATATTTGGACTTCTCTGAGGATTTCGTTGGAAACGGGATAAACTTCCCAGAACTACACGGAAGCATTCTGAGAAACTTCTTTGTGATGTTTCCATTCAACTCATAGAGTTGAACCTTGCTTTCATAGTTCAGCTTTCAAACACTCTTTTTGTAGAATCTGCAAGTGGATATTTGGACCACTTTGTGGCCTTCCTTCGAAACGGGTATATCTTCACATCAAACCTAGACAGAAGCATTCTCAGAATGTTTCCTGTGATGACTGCATTCAACTCACAGAGGTGAACAATCCTGCTGATGGAGCAGTTTTGAAACTCTCTTTCTTTGGATTCTGCAAGTGGATGTGTGGACCTCTGTGAAATTTTCGTTGGAAACGGGTTCATCTTCACAGAAAAACTAAACAGAAGCATTCTCAGAAACTACTTTGTGATGTTTGTGTTCCACTTCAAGAATTGAACTTTCCTCTTGACAGAGCAGCTCTGAAACCCTCTTTTTCTAGAATCTGCAAGTGGACATTTGGAGGGCTTTGAGGCCTGTGGTGGAAAAGGAAAATCTTCACATAAAAACTAGATGGAAGCATTCTCAGAAACTACTTTGTGATGATTGCATTCGACTCACAGAGTTGAACATTCCTATAGATAGAGCAGGTTGTAAACAATCTTTTTGTAGAATCTGCGATCGGAGATTTGGACTGCTTTGAGGCCTACTGTAGTAAAGGAAATAACTTCATCTAAAAACCAAACGGAAGCATTCACAGACAATTCTTAGTGATTATTGGATTGAACTAACAGAGCTGAACATTCCTTTAGATGGCACAGTTTCCAAACACACTTTCTGTAGAATCTGCAAGTGGATATTTGGACCTCTCTGAGGATTTCGTTGGAAACGGGATAAACTTCCCAGAACTACACGGAAGCATTCTGAGAAACTTCTTTGTGATGTTTGCATTCAACTCACAGAGTTGAACCTTGCTTTCATAGTTCAGCTTTCAAACCCTCTTTTTGTAGAATCTGCAAGTGGATATTTGGACCACTTTGTGGCCTTCTTTCGAAACGGGTATATCTTCACATCAAACCTAGACAGAAGCATTCTCAGAATGTTTCCTGTGATGACTGCATTCAACTCACAGAGGTGAACAATCCTGCTGATGGAGCAGTTTTGAAACTCTCTTTCTTTGGATTCTGCAAGTGGATATGTGGACCCTCTGTGAAGATTTCGTTGGAAACGTGCTCATCTTCACAGAAAAACTAAACAGGGAGCATTCTCAGAAACTGCTTTGTGATGTTTGTGTTCCACTTCAAGAATTGAACTTTCCTCTCGACAGAGCAGCTCTGAAACCCTCTTTTTCTAGAATCTGCAAGTGGACATTTGGAGGGCTTTGAGGCCTGTGGTGGAAAAGGAAAATCTTCACATAAAAACTAGATGGAAGCATTCTCAGAAACTACTTTGTGATGATTGCATTCGACTCACAGAGTTGAACATTCCTATAGATAAAGCAGGTTGTAAACAATCTTTTTGTAGAATCTGCGATTGGAGATTTGGACTGCTTTGAGGCCTACTGTAGTAAAGGAAATAACTTCATCTAAAAACCAAACGGAAGCATTCACAGACAATTCTTAGTGATCATTGCATTGATCTAACAGAGCTGAACATTCCTTTAGATGGCGTAGTTTCCAAACACACTTTCTGTAGAATCTGCAAGTGGATATTTGGACCTCTCTGAGGATTTCGTTGGAAACGGGATAAACTTCCCAGAACTACACGGAAGCATTCTGAGAAACTTCTTTGTGATGTTTGCATTCAACTCACAGAGTTGAACCTTGCTTTCATAGTTCAGCTTTCAAACACTCTTTTTGTAGAATCTGCAAGTGGATATTTGGACCACTTTGTGGCCTTCCTTCGAAACGGGTATATCTTCACATCAAACCTAGACAGAAGCATTCTCAGAATGTTTCCTGTGATGACTGCATTCAACTCACAGAGGTGAACAATCCTGCTGATGGAGCAGTTTTGAAACTCTCTTTCTTTGGATTCTGCAAGTGGATATGTGGACCTCTGTGAAGATTTCGTTGGAAACGGGTTCATCTTCACAGAAAAACTAAACAGAAGCATTCTCAGAAACTGCTTTGTGATGTTTGTGTTCCACTTCAGGAATTGAACTTTCCTCTTGACAGAGCAGCTCTGAAACCCTCTTATTCTAGAATCTGCAAGTGGACATTTGGAGGGCTTTGAGGCCTGTGGTGGAAAAGGAAAATCTTCACATAAAAACTAGATGGAAGCATTCTCAGAAACTACTTTGTGATGATTGCATTCGACTCACAGAGTTGAACATTCCTATAGATAGAGCAGGTTGTAAACAATCTTTTTGTAGAATCTGCGATTGGAGATTTGGACTGCTTTGAGGCCTACTGTAGTAAAGGAAATAACTTCATCTAAAAACCAAACGGAAGCATTCACAGACAATTCTTAGTGATCACTGGATTGAACTAACAGAGCTGAACATTCCTTTAGATGGAGCAGTTTCCAAACACACTTTCTGTAGAATCTGCAAGTGGATATTTGGACCTCTCTGAGGATTTCGTTGGAAACGGGATAAACTTCCCAGAACTACACGGAAGCATTCTGAGAAACTTCTTTGTGATGTTTGCATTCAACTCACAGAGTTGAACCTTGCTTTCATAGTTCAGCTTTCAAACACTCTTTTTGTAGAATCTGCAAGTGGATATTTGGACCACTTTGTGGCCTTCCTTCGAAACGGGTATATCTTCACATCAAACCTAGACAGAAGCATTCTCAGAATGTTTCCTGTGATGACTGCATTCAACTCACAGAGGTGAACAATCCTGCTGATGGAGCAGTTTTGAAACTCTCTTTCTTTGGATTCTGCAAGTGGATATGTGGACCTCTGTGAAGATTTCGTTGGAAACGGGTTCATCTTCACAGAAAAACTAAACAGGAGCATTCTCAGAAACTGCTTTGTGATGTTTGTGTTCCACTTCAAGAATTGAACTTTCCTCTTGACAGAGCAGCTCTGAAACACTCTTTTTCTAGAATCTGCAAGTGGACATTTGGAGGGCTTTGAGGCCTGTGGTGGAAAAGGAAAATCTTCACATGAAAACTAGATGGAAGCATTCTCAGAAACTACTTTGTGATGATTGCATTCGACTCACAGAGTTGAACATTCCTATAGGTAGAGCAGGTTGTAAACAATCTTTTTGTAGAATCTGCGATTGGAGATTTGGACTGCTTTGAGGCCTACTGTAGTAAAGGAAATAACTTCATCTAAAAACCAAACGGAAGCATTCACAGACAATTCTTAGTGATCATTGGATTGAACTAACAGAGCTGAACATTCCTTTAGATGGAGCAGTTTCCAAACACACTTTCTGTAGAATCTGCAAGTGGATATTTGGACTTCTCTGAGGATTTCGTTGGAAACGGGATAAACTTCCCAGAACTACACGGAAGCATTCTGAGAAACTTCTCTGTGATGTTTGCATTCAACTCACAGAGTTGAACCTTGCTTTCATAGTTCAGCTTTCAAACACTCTTTTTGTAGAATCTGCAAGTGGATATTTGGACCACTTTGTGGCCTTCCTTCGAAACGGGTATATCTTCACGTCAAACCTAGACAGAAGCATTCTCAGAATGTTTCCTGTGATGACTGCATTCAACTCACAGAGGTGAACAATCCTGCTGATGGAGCAGTTTTGAAACTCCCTTTCTTTGGATTCTGCAAGTGGATATGTGGACCTCTGTGAAGATTTCGTTGGAAACGGGTTCATCTTCACAGAAAAACTAAACAGAAGCATTCTCAGAAACTGCTTTGTGATGTTTGTGTTCCACTTCAAGAATTGAACTTTCCTCTTGACAGAGTAGCTCTGAAACCCTCTTTTTCTAGAGTCTGCAAGTGGACATTTGGAGGGCTTTGAGGCCTGTGGTGGAAAAGGAAAATCTTCACATAAAAACTAGATGGAAGCATTCTCAGAAACTACTTTGTGATGATTGCATTCGACTCACAGAGTTGAACATTCCTATAGATAGAGCAGGTTGTAAACAATCTTTTTGTAGAATCTGCGATTGGAGATTTGGACTGCTTTGAGGCCTACTGTAGTAAAGGAAATAACTTCATCTAAAAACCAAACGGAAGCATTCACAGACAATTCTTAGTGATCATTGGATTGAACTAACAGAGCTGAACATTCCTTTAGATGGCGCAGTTTCCAAACACACTTTCTGTAGAATCTGCAAGTGGATATTTGGACCTCTCTGAGGATTTCGTTGGAAACGGGATAAGCTTCCCAGAATTACACGGAAGCATTCTGAGAAACTTCTTTGTGATGTTTGCATTCAACTCACAGAGTTGAACCTTGCTTTCATAGTTCAGCTTTCAAACACTCTTTTTGTAGAATCTGCAAGTGGATATTTGGACCACTTTGTGGCCTTCCTTCGAAACGGGTATATCTTCACATCAAACCTAGACAGAAGCATTCTCAGAATGTTTCCTGTGATGACTGCATTCAACTCACAGAGGTGAACAATCCTGCTGATGGAGCAGTTTTGAAACTCTCTTTCTTTGGATTCTGCAAGTGGATATGTGGACCTCTGTGAAGATTTCGTTGGAAACGGGTTCATCTTCACAGAAAAACTAAACAGAAACATTCTCAGAAACTGCTTTGTGATGTTTGTGTTCCACTTCAAGAATTGAACTTTCCTCTTGACAGAGCAGCTCTGAAACCCTCTTTTTCTAGAATCTGCAAGTGGACATTTGGAGGGCTTTGAGGCCTGTGGTGGAAAAGGAAAATCTTCACATAAAAACTAGATGGAAGCATTCTCAGAAACTACTTTTTGATGATTGCATTCGACTCACAGAGTTGAACATTCCTATAGATAGAGCAGGTTGTACACAATCTTTTTGTAGAATCTGCGATTGGAGATTTGGACTGCTTTGAGGCCTACTGTAGTAAAGGAAATAGCTTCATCTAAAAACCAAACGGAAGCATTCACAGACAATTCTTAGTGATCATTGGATTGAACTAACAGAGCTGAACATTCCTTTAGATGGAGCAGTTTCCAAACCCACTTTCTGTAGAATCTGCAAGTGGATATTTGGACTTCTCTGAGGATTTCGTTGGAAACGGGATAAAATTCCCAGAACTACACGGAAGCATTGTGAGAAACTTCTTTGTGATGTTTGCATTCAACTCACAGAGTTGAACCTTGCTTTCATAGTTCAGCTTTCAAACACTCTTTTTGTAGAATCTGCAAGTGGATATTTGGACCACTTTGTGGCCTTCCTTCGAAACGGGTATATCTTCACATCAAACCTAGACAGAAGCATTCTCAGAATGTTTCCTGTGATGACTGCATTCAACTCACAGAGGTGAACAATCCTGCTGATGGAGCAGTTTTGAAACTCTCTTTCTTTGGATTCTGCAAGTGGATATGTGGACCTCTGTGAAGATTTCGTTGGAAACGGGTTCATCTTCACAGAAAAACTAAACAGGAACATTCTCAGAAACTGCTTTGTGATGTTTGTGTTCCACTTCAAGAATTGAACTTTCCTCTTGACAGAGCAGCTCTGAAACCCTCTTTTTCTAGAATCTGCAAGTGGACATTTGGAGGGCTTTGAGGCCTGTGGTGGAAAAGGAAAATCTTCACATAAAAACTAGATGGAAGCATTCTCAGAAACTACTTTGTGATGATTGCATTCGACTCACAGAGTTGAACATTCCTATAGATAGAGCAGGTTGTAAACAATCTTTTTGTAGAATCTGCGATTGGAGATTTGGACTGCTTTGAGGCCTACTGTAGTAAAGGAAATAACTTCATCTAAAAACCAAACGGAAGCATTCACAGACAATTCTTAGTGATCATTGGATTGAATTAACAGAGCTGAATATTCCTTTAGGTGGAGCAGTTTCCAAACACACTTTCTGTAGAATCTGCAAGTGGATATTTGGACATCTCTGAGGATTTCGTTGGAAACGGGATAAACTTCCCAGAACTACACGGAAGCATTCTGAGAAACTTCTTTGTGATGTTTGCATTCAACTCACAGAGTTGAACCTTGCTTTCATAGTTCAGCTTTCAAACACTCTTTTTGTAGAATCTGCAAGTGGATATTTGGACCACTTTGTGGCCTTCCTTCGAAACGGGTATATCTTCACATCAAACCTAGACAGAAGCATTCTCAGAATGTTTCCTGTGATGACTGCATTCAACTCACAGAGGTGAACAATCCTGTTGATGGAGCACTTTTGAAACTCTCTTTCTTTGGATTCTGCAAGTTGATATGTGGACCTCTGTGAAGATTTCGTTGGAAACGGGTTCATCTTCACAGAAAAACTAAACAGAAGCATTCTCAGAAACTACTTTGTGATGTTTGTGTTCCACTTCAAGAATTGAACTTTCCTCTTGACAGAGCAGCTCTGAAACCCTCTTTTTCTAGAATCTGCAAGTGGACATTTGGAGGGCTTTGAGGCCTGTGGTGGAAAAGGAAAATCTTCACATAAAAACTAGATGGAAGCATTCTCAGAAACTACTTTGTGATGATTGCATTCGACTCACAGAGTTGAACATTCCTATACATAGAGCAGGTTGTAAACAATCTTTTTGTAGAATCTGCGATTGGAGATTTGGACTGCTTTGAGGCCTACTGTAGTAAAGGAAATAACTTCATCTAAAAACCAAACGGAAGCATTCACAGACAATTCTTAGTGATCATTGGATTGAACTAACAGAGCTGAACATTCCTTTAGATGGAGCAGTTTCCAAACCCACTTTCTGTAGAATCTGCAAGTGGATATTTGGACTTCTCTGAGGATTTCGTTGGAAACGGGATAAACTTCCCAGAACTACACGGAAGCATTCTGAGAAACTTCTTTGTGATGTTTGCATTCAACTCACAGAGTTGAACCTTGCTTTCATAGTTCAGCTTTCAAACACTCTTTTTGTAGAATCTGCAAGTGGATATTTGGACCACTTTGTGGCCTTCCTTCGAAACGGGTATATCTTCACATCAAACCTAGACAGAAGCATTCTCAGAATGTTTCCTGTGATGACTGCATTCAACTCACAGAGGTGAACAATCCTGTTGATGGAGCAGTTTTGAAACTCTCTTTCTTTGGATTCTGCAAGTGGATATGTGGACCTCTGTGAAGATTTCGTTGGAAACGGGTTCATCTTCACAGAAAAACTAAACAGAAGCATTCTCAGAAACTGCTTTGTGATGTTTGTGTTCCACTTCAGGAATTGAACTTTCCTCTTGACAGAACAGCTCTGAAACCCTCTTATTCTAGAATCTGCAAGTGGACATTTGGAGGGCTTTGAGGCCTGTGGTGGAAAAGGAAAATCTTCACATAAAAACTAGATGGAAGCATTCTCAGAAACTACTTTGTGATGATTGCATTCGACTCACAGAGTTGAACATTCCTATAGATAGAGCAGGTTGTAAACAATCTTTTTGTAGAATCTGCGATTGGAGATTTGGACTGCTTTGAGGCCTACTGTAGTAAAGGAAATAACTTCATCTAAAAACCAAACGGAAGCATTCACAGACAATTCTTAGTGATCATTGCATTGAACTAACAGAGCTGAACATTGCTTTAGATGGCGCAGTTTCCAAACACACTTTCTGTAGAATCTGCAAGTGGATATTTGGACCTCTCTGAGGATTTCGTTGGAAACGGGATAAACTTCCCAGAACTACACGGAAGCATTCTGAGAAACTTCTTTGTGATGTTTGCATTCAACTCACAGAGTTGAACCTTGCTTTCATAGTTCAGCTTTCAAACACTCTTTTTGTAGAATCTGCAAGTGGATATTTGGACCACTTTGTGGCCTTCCTTCGAAACGGGTATATCTTCACATCAAACCTAGACAGAAGCATTCTCAGAATGTTTCCTGTGATGACTGCATTCAACTCACAGAGGTGAACAATCCTGTTGATGGAGCAGTTTTGAAACTCTCTTTCTTTGGATTCTGCAAGTGGATATGTGGACCTCTGTGAAGATTTCGTTGGAAACGGGTTCATCTTCACAGAAAAACTAAACAGGAGCATTCTCAGAAACTGCTTTGTGATGTTTGTGTTCCACTTCAAGAATTGAACTTTCCTCTTGACAGAGCAGCTCTGAAACCCTCTTTTTCTAGAATCTGCAAGTGGACATTTGGAGGGCTTTGAGGCCTGTGGTGGAAAAGGAAAATCTTCACATAAAAACTAGATGGAAGCATTCTCAGAAACTACTTTGTGATGATTGCATTCGACTCACAGAGTTGAACATTCCTATAGATAGAGCAGGTTGTAAACAATCTTTTTGTAGAATCTGCGATTGGAGATTTGGACTGCTTTGAGGCCTACTGTAGTAAAGGAAATAACTTCATCTAAAAACCAAACGGAAGCATTCACAGACAATTCTTAGTGATCATTGGATTGAACTAACAGAGCTGAACATTCCTTTAGATGGAGCAGTTTCCAAACACACTTTCTGTAGAATCTGCAAGTGGATATTTGGACCTCTCTGAGGATTTCGTTGGAAACGGGATAAACTTCCCAGAACTACACGGAAGCATTGTGAGAAACTTCTTTGTGATGTTTGCATTCAACTCACAGAGTTGAACCTTGCTTTCATAGTTCAGCTTTCAAACACTCTTTTTGTAGAAACTGCAAGTGGATATTTGGACCACTTTGTGGCCTTCCTTCGAAACGGGTATATCTTCACATCAAACCTAGACAGAAGCATTCTCAGAATGTATCCTGTGATGACTGCATTCAACTCACAGAGGTGAACAATCCTGCTGATGGAGCAGTTTTGAAACTCTCTTTCTTTGGATTCTGCAAGTGGATATGTGGACCTCTGTGAAGATTTCGTTGGAAACGGGTTCATCTTCACAGAAAAACTAAACAGAAACATTCTCAGAAACTGCTTTGTGATGTTTGTGTTCCACTTCAGGAATTGAACTTTCCTCTTGACAGAGCAGCTCTGAAACCCTCTTATTCTAGAATCTGCAAGTGGACATTTGGAGGGCTTTGAGGCCTGTGGTGGAAAAGGAAAATCTTCACATAAAAACTAGATGGAAGCATTCTCAGAAACTACTTTGTGATGATTGCATTCGACTCACAGAGTTGAACATTCCTATAGATAGAGCAGGTTGTAAACAATCTTTTTATAGAATCTGCGATTGGAGATTTGGACTGCTTTGAGGCCTGCTGTAGTAAAGGAAATAACTTCATCTAAAAACCAAACGGAAGCATTCACAGACAATTCTTAGTGATCATTGGATTGAACTAACAGAGCTGAACATTCCTTTAGATGGAGCAGTTTCCAAACACACTTTCTGTAGAATCTGCAAGTGGATATTTGGACTTCTCTGAGGATTTCGTTGGAAACGGGAAAACTTCCCAGAACTACACGGAAGCATTCTGAGAAACTTCTTTGTGATGTTTGCATTCAACTCACAGAGTTGAACCTTGCTTTCATAGTTCAGCTTTCAAACACTCTTTTTGTAGAATCTGCAAGTGGATATTTGGACCACTTTCTGGCCTTCCTTCGAAACGGGTATATCTTCACATCAAACCTAGACAGAAGAATTCTCAGAATGTTTCCTGTGATGATTGCATTCAACTCACAGAGGTGAACAATCCTGTTGATGGAGCAGTTTTGAAACTCTCTTTCTTTGGATTCTGCAAGTGGATATGTGGACCTCTGTGAAGATTTGGTTGGAAACGGGTTCATCTTCCCAGAAAAACTAAAAAGAAACATTCTCAGAAACTGCTTTGTGAAGTTTGTGTTCCACTTCAGGAATTGAACTTTCCTCTTGACAGAGCAGCTCTGAAACCCTCTTATTCTAGAATCTGCAAGTGGACATTTGGAGGGCTTTGAGGCCTGTGGTGGAAAAGGAAAATCTTCACATAAAAACTAGATGGAAGCATTCTCAGAAACTACTTTGTGATGATTGCATTCGACTCACAGAGTTGAACATTCCTATAGATAGAGCAGGTTGTAAACAATCTTTTTGTAGAATCTGCGATTGGAGATTTGGACTGCTTTGAGGCCTACTGTAGTAAAGGAAATAACTTCATCTAAAAACCAAACGGAAGCATTCACAGACAATTCTTAGTGATCATTGCATTGAACTAACAGAGCTGAACATTCCTTTAGATGGAGCAGTTTCCAAACCCACTTTCTGTAGAATCTGCAAGTGGATATTTGGACTTCTCTGAGGATTTCGTTGGAAACGGGATATGCTTCCCAGAACTACAGGGAAGCATTCTGAGAAACTTCTTTGTGATGTTTGCATTCAACTCACAGAGTTGAACCTTGCTTTCATAGTTCAGCTTTCAAACACTCTTTTTGTAGAATCTGCAAGTGGATATTTGGACCACTTTGTGGCCTTCCTTCGAAACGGGTATATCTTCACATCAAACCTAGACAGAAGCATTCTCGGAATGTTTCCTGTGATGACTGCATTCAACTCACAGAGGTGAACAATCCTGCTGATGGAGCAGTTTTGAAACTCTCTTTCTTTGGATTCTGCAGCTGGATATGTGGACCTCTGTGAAGATTTCTTTGGAAACGGGTTCATCTTCACAGAAAAACTAAACAGGAGCATTCTCAGAAACTGCTTTGTGATGTTTGTGTTCCACTTCAGGAATTGAACTTTCCTCTTGACAGAGCAGCTCTGAAACCCTCTTTTTCTAGAATCTGCAAGTGGACATTTGGAGGGCTTTGAGGCCTGTGGTGGAAAAGGAAAATCTTCACATAAAAACTAGATGGAAGCATTCTCAGAAACTACTTTGTGATGATTGCATTCGACTCACAGAGTTGAACATTCCTATAGATAGAGCAGGTTGTAAACAATCTTTTTGTAGAATCTGCGATTGGAGATTTGGACTGCTTTGAGGCCTACTGTAGTAAAGGAAATAACTTCATCTAAAAACCAAACGGAAGCATTCACAGACAATTCTTAGTGATCATTGCATTGAACTAACAGAGCTCAACATTGCTTTAGATGGCGCAGTTTCCAAACACCCTTTCTGTAGAATCTGCAAGTGGATATTTGGACCTCTCTGAGGATATCGTTGGAAAAGGGATAAACTTCCCAGAACTACACGGAAGCATGCTGAGAAACTTCTTTGTGATGTTTGCATTCAACTCACAGAGTGGAACCTTGCTTTCATAGTTCAGCTTTCAAACACTCTTTTTGTGGAATCTGCAAGTGGATATTTGGACCACTTTGTGGCCTTCCTTCGAAACGGGTATATCTTCACATCAAACCTAGACAGAAGCATTCTCAGAATGTTTCCTGTGATGACTGCATTCAACTCACAGAGGTGAACAATCCGGCTAATGGAGCAGTTTTGAAACTCTCTTTCTTTGGATTCTGCAAGTGGATATGTGGACCTCTGTGAAGATTTCGTTGGAAACGGGTTCATCTTCACAGAAAAACTAAACAGAAGCATTCTCAGAAACTGCTTTGTGATGTTTGTGTTCCACTTCAGGAATTGAACTTTCCTCTTGACAGAGCAGCTCTGCAACCCTCTTATTCTAGAATCTGCAAGTGGACATTTGGAGGGCTTTGAGGCCTGTGGTGGAAAAGGAAAATCTTCACATAAAAACTAGATGGAAGCATTCTCAGAAACTACTTTGTGATGATTGCATTCGACTCACAGAGTTGAACATTCCTATAGATAGAGCAGGTTGTAAACAATGTTTTTGTAGAATCTGCGATTGGAGATTTGGACTGCTTTGAGGCCTACTGTAGTAAAGGAAATAACTTCATCTAAAAACCAAACGGAAGCATTCACAGACAATTCTTAGTGATCATTGGATTGAACTAACAGAGCTGAACATTCCTTTAGGTGGAGCAGTTTCCAAACACACTTTCTGTAGAATCTGCAAGTGGATATTTGGACTTCTCTGAGGATTTCGTTGGAAACGGGATAAACTTCCCAGAACTACACGGAAGCATTCTGAGAAACTTCTTTGTGATGTTTGCATGCAACTCACAGAGTTGAACCTTGCTTTCATAGTTCAGCTTTCAAACACTCTTTTTGTAGAATCTGCAAGTGGATATTTGGACCACTTTGTGGCCTTCCTTCGAAACGGGTATATCTTCACATCAAACCTAGACAGAAGCATTCTCAGAATGTTTCCTGTGATGACTGCATTCAACTCACAGAGGTGAACAATCCTGCTGATGGAGCAGTTTTGAAACTCTCTTTCTTTGGATTCTGCAAGTGGATATGTGGACCTCTGTGAAGATTTCGTTGGAAACGGGTTCATCTTCACAGAAAAACTAAACAGAAGCATTCTCAGAAACTGCTTTGTGATGTTTGTGTTCCACTTCAAGAATTGAACTTTCCTCTTGACAGAGCAGCTCTGAAACCCTCTTTTTCTAGAATCTGCAAGTGGACATTTGGAGGGCTTTCAGGCCTGTGGTGGAAAAGGAAAATCTTCACATAAAAACTGGATGGAAGCATTCTCAGAAACTACTTTGTGATGATTGCATTCGACTCACAGAGTTGAACATTCCTATAGATAGAGCAGGTTGTAAACAATCTTTTTGTAGAATCTGCGATTGGAGATTTGGACTGCTTTGAGGCCTACTGTAGTAAAGGAAATAACTTCATCTAAAAACCAAACGGAAGCATTCACAGACAATTCTTAGTGATCATTGGATTGAACTAACAGAGCTGAACATTCCTTTAGATGGAGCAGTTTCCAAACACACTTTCTGTAGAATCTGCAAGTGGATATTTGGACTTCTCTGAGGATTTCGTTGGAAACGGGATAAACTTCCCAGAACTACACGGAAGCATTCTGAGAAACTTCTTTGTGATGTTTGCATTCAACTCACAGAGTTGAACCTTGCTTTCATAGTTCAGCTTTCAAACACTCTTTTTGTAGAATCTGCAAGTGGATATTTGGACCACTTTCTGGCCTTCCTTCGAAACGGGTATATCTTCACATCAAACCTAGACAGAAGCATTCTCAGAATGTTTCCTGTGATGACTGCATTCAACTCACAGAGGTGAACAATCCTGCTGATGGAGCAGTTTTGAAACTCTCTTTCTTTGGATTCTGCAAGTGGATATGTGGACCTCTGTGAAGATTTCGTTGGAAACGGGTTCATCTTCACAGAAAAACTAAACAGAAGCATTCTCAGAAACTGCTTTGTGATGTTTGTGTTCCACTTCAGGAATTGAACTTTCCTCTTGACAGAGCAGCTCTGAAACCCTCTTTTTCTAGAATCTGCAAGTGGACATTTGGAGGGCTTTGAGGCATGTGGTGGAAAAGGAAAATCTTCACATAAAAACTAGATGGAAGCATTCTCAGAAACTACTTTGTGATGATTGCATTCGACTCACAGAGTTGAACATTCCTATAGATAGAGCAGGTTGTAAACAATCTTTTTGTAGAATCTGCGATTGGAGATTTGGACTGCTTTGAGGCCTACTGTAGTAAAGGAAATAACTTCATCTAAAAACCAAACGGAAGCATTCACAGACAATTCTTAGTGATCATTGCATTGAACTAACAGAGCTGAACATTTCTTTAGATGGAGCAGTTTCCAAACACACTTTCTGTAGAATCTGCAAGTGGATATTTGGACTTCTCTGAGGATTTCGTTGGAAACGGGATAAACTTCCCAGAACTACACGGAAGCATTCTGAGAAACTTCTTTGTGATGTTTGCATTCAACTCACAGAGTTGAACCTTGCTTTCATAGTTCAGCTTTCAAACACTCTTTTTGTAGAATCTGCAAGTGGATATTTGGACCACTTTGTGGCCTTCCTTCGAAACGGGTATATCTTCACATCAAACCTAGACAGAAGCATTCTCAGAATGTTTCCTGTGATGACTGCATTCAACTCACAGAGGTGAACAATCCTGCTGATGGAGCAGTGTTGAAACTCTCTTTCTTTGGATTCTGCAAGTGGATATGTGGACCTCTGTGAAGATTTCGTTGGAAAAGGGTTCATCTTCACAGAAAAACTAAACAGGAGCATTCTCAGAAACTGCATTGTGATGTTTGTGTTCCACTTCAAGAATTGAACTTTCCTCTTGACAGAGCAGCTCTGAAACCCTCTTTTTCTAGAATCTGCAAGTGGACATTTGGAGGGCTTTGAGGCCTGTGGTGGAAAAGGAAAATCTTCACATAAAAACTTTATGGAAGCATTCTCAGAAACTACTTTGTGATGATTGCATTCGACTCACAGAGTTGAACATTCCTATAGATAGAGCAGGTTGTAAACAATCTTTTTGTAGAATCTGCGATTGGAGATTTGGACTGCTTTGAGGCCTACTGTAGTAAAGGAAATAACTTCATCTAAAAACCAAACGGAAGCATTCACAGACAATTCTTAGTGATCATTGCATTGATCTAACAGAGCTGAACATTCCTTTAGATGGCGTAGTTTCCAAACACACTTTCTGTAGAATCTGCAAGTGGATATTTGGACCTCTCTGAGGATTTCGTTGGAAACGGGATTAACTTCCCAGAACTACACGGAAGCATTCTGAGAAACTTCTTTGTGATGTTTGCATTCAACTCACAGAGTTGAACCTTGCTTTCATAGTTCAGCTTTCAAACACTCTTTTTGTAGAATCTGCAAGTGGATATTTGGACCACTTTGTGGCCTTCCTTCGAAACGGGTATATCTTCACATCAAACCTAGACAGAAGCATTCTCAGAATGTTTCCTGTGATGACTGCATTCAACTCACAGAGGTGAACAATCCTGCTGATGGAGCAGTTTTGAAACTCTCTTTCTTTGGATTCTGCAAGTGGATATGTGGACCTCTGTGAAGATTTCGTTGGAAACGGGTTCATCTTCACAGAAAAACTAAACAGAAGCATTCTCAGAAACTGCTTTGTGATGTTTGTGTTCCACTTCAGGAATTGAACTTTCCTCTTGACAGAGCAGCTCTGAAACCCTCTTATTCTAGAATCTGCAAGTGGACATTTGGAGGGCTTTGAGGCCTGTGGTGGAAAAGGAAAATCTTCACATAAAAACTAGATGGAAGCATTCTCAGAAACTACTTTGTGATGATTGCATTCGACTCACAGAGTTGAACATTCCTATAGATAGAGCAGGTTGTAAACAATCTTTTTGTAGAATCTGCGATTGGAGATTTGGACTGCTTTGAGGCCTACTGTAGTAAAGGAAATAACTTCATCTAAAAACCAAACGGAAGCATTCACAGACAATTCTTAGTGATCATTGGATTGAACTAACAGAGCTGAACATTCCTTTAGATGGAGCAGTTTCCAAACACACTTTCTGTAGAATCCGCAAGTGGATATTTGGACCTCTGTGAGGATTTCGTTGGAAACGGGATAAATTTCCCATCACTACACGGAAGCATTCTGAGAAACTTCTTTGTGATGTTTGCATTCAACTCACAGAGTTGAACCTTGCTTTCATAGTTCAGCTTTCAAACACTCTTTTTGTAGAATCTGCAAGTGGATATTTGGACCACTTTGTGGCCTTCCTTCGAAACGGGTATATCTTCACATCAAACCTAGACAGAAGCATTCTCAGAATGTTTCCTGTGATGACTGCATTCAACTCACAGAGGTGAACAATCCTGCTGATGGAGCAGTTTTGAAACTCTCTTTCTTTGGATTCTGCAAGTGGATATGTGGACCTCTGTGAAGATTTCGTTGGAAACGGGTTCATCTTCACAGAAAAACTAAACAGGAGCATTCTCAGAAACTGCTTTGTGATGTTTGTGTTCCACTTCAAGAATTGAACTTTCCTCTTGACAGAGCAGCTCTGGAACCCTCTTTTTCTAGAATCTGCAAGTGGACATTTGGAGGGCTTTGAGGCCTGTGGTGGAAAAGGAAAATCTTCACATAAAAACTTTATGGAAGCATTCTCAGAAACTACTTTGTGATGATTGCATTCGACTCACAGAGTTGAACATTCCTATAGATAGAGCAGGTTGTAAACAATCTTTTTGTAGAATCTGCGATTGGAGATTTGGAGTGCTTTGGGGCCTACTGTAGTAAAGGAAAAAACTTCATCTAAAAACCAAACGGAAGCATTCACAGACAATTCTTAGTGATCATTGCATTGAACTAACAGAGCTGAACATTCCTTTAGATGGAGCAGTTTCCAGACACACTTTCTGTAGAATCTGCAAGTGGATATTTGGACTTCTCTGAGGATTTCGTTGGAAACGGGATAAACTTCCCAGAACTACACGGAAGCATTCTGAGAAACTTCTTTGTGATGTTTGCATTCAACTCACAGAGTTGAACCTTGCTTTCATAGTTCAGCTTTCAAACACTCTTTTTGTAGAATCTGCAAGTGGATATTTGGACCACTTTGTGGCCTTCCTTCGAAACGGGTATATCTTCACATCAAACCTAGACAGAAGCATTCTCAGAATGTTTCCTGTGATGACTGCATTCAACTCACAGAGGTGAACAATCCTGTTGATTGAGCACTTTTGAAACTCTCTTTCTTTGGATTCTGCAAGTTGATATGTGGACCTCTGTGAAGATTTCGTTGGAAACGGGTTCATCTTCACAGAAAAACTAAACAGAAGCATTCTCAGAAACTGCTTTGTGATGTTTGTGTTCCACTTCAAGAATTGAACTTTCCTCTTGACAGAGCAGCTCTGAAACCCTCTTTTTCTAGAATCTGCAAGTGGACATTTGGAGGGCTTTGAGGCCTGTGGTGGAAAAGGAAAATCTTCACATAAAAACTAGATGGAAGCATTCTCAGAAACTACTTTGTGATGATTGCATTCGACTCACAGAGTTGAACATTCCTATAGATAGAGCAGGTTGTAAACAATCTTTTTGTAGAATCTGCGATTGGAGATTTGGACTGCTTTGAGGCCTACTGTAGTAAAGGAAATAACTTCATCTAAAAACCAAACGGAAGCATTCACAGACAATTCTTAGTGATCATTGCATTGAAATAACAGAGCTGAACATTCCTTTAGATGGCGCAGTTTCCAAACACACTTTCTGTAGAATCTGCAAGTGGATATTTGGACCTCTCTGAGGATTTCGTTGGAAACGGGATAAACTTCCCAGAACTACACGGAAGCATTGTGAGAAACTTCTTTGTGATGTTTGCATTCAACTCACAGAGTTGAACCTTGCTTTCATAGTTCAGCTTTCAAACACTCTTTTTGTAGAATCTGCAAGTGGATATTTGGACCACTTTGTGGCCTTCCTTCGAAACGGGTATATCTTCACATCAAACCTAGACAGAAGCATTCTCAGAATGTTTCCTGTGATGACTGCATTCAACTCACAGAGGTGAACAATCCTGCTGATGGAGCACTTTTGAAACTCTCTTTCTTTGGATTCTGCAAGTGGATATGTGGACCTCTGTGAAGATTTCGTTGGAAACGGGTTCATCTTCACAGAAAAACTAAACAGGAGCATTCTCAGAAACTGCTTTGTGATGTTTGTGTTCCACTTAAAGAATTGAACTTTCCTCTTGACAGAGCAGCTCTGAAACCCTCTTTTTCTAGAATCTGCAAGTGGACATTTGGAGGGCTTTGAGGCCTGTGGTGGAAAAGGAAAATCTTCACATAAAAACTTTATGGAAGCATTCTCAGAAACTTCTTTGTGATGATTGCATTCGACTCACAGAGTTGAACATTCCTATAGATAGAGCAGGTTGTAAACAATCTTTTTGTAGAATCTGCGATTGGAGATTTGGACTGCTTTGAGGCCTACTGTAGTAAAGGAAATTACTTCATCTAAAAACCAAACGGAAGCATTCACAGACAATTCTTAGTGATCATTGGATTGAACTAACAGAGCTGAACATTCCTTTAGATGGAGCAGTTTCCAAACCCACTTTCTGTAGAATCTGCAAGTGGATATTTGGACTTCTCTGAGGATTTCGTTGGAAACGGGATAAACTTCCCAGAACTACACGGAAGCATTGTGAGAAACTTCTTTGTGATGTTTGCATTCAACTCACAGAGTTGAACCTTGTTTTCATAGTTCAGCTTTCAAACACTCTTTTTGTAGAATCTGCAAGTGGATATTTGGACCACTTTGTGGCCTTCCTTCGAAACGGGTATATCTTCACATCAAACCTAGACAGAAGCATTCTCAGAATGTTTCCTGTGATGACTGCATTCAACTCACAGAGGTGAACAATCCTGTTGATGGAGCACTTTTGAAACTCTCTTTCTTTGGATTCTGCTAGTTGATATGTGGACCTCTGTGAAGATTTCGTTGGAAACGGGTTCATCTTCACAGAAAAACTAAACAGAAGCATTCTCAGAAACTACTTTGTGATGTTTGTGTTCCACTTCAAGAATTGAACTTTCCTCTTGACAGAGCAGCTCTGAAACCCTCTTTTTCTAGAATCTGCAAGTGGACATTTGGAGGGCTTTGAGGCCTGTGGTGGAAAAGGAAAATCTTCACATAAAAACTAGATGGAAGCATTCTCAGAAACTACTTTGTGATGATTGCATTCGACTAACAGAGTTGAACATTCCTATAGATAGGGCAGGTTGTAAACAATCTTTTTGTACAATCTGCGATTGGAGATTTGGACTGCTTTGAGGCCTACTGTAGTAAAGGAAATAACTTCATCTAAAAACCAAACGGAAGCATTCACAGACAATTCTTAGTGATCATTGGATTGAACTAACAGAGCTGAACATTCCTTTAGATGGAGCAGTTTCCAAACACACTTTCTGTAGAATCTGCAAGTGGATATTTGGACCTCTCTGAGGATTTCGTTGGAAACGGGATAAACTTCCCAGAACTACACGGAAGCATTGTGAGAAACTTCTTTGTGATGTTTGCATTCAACTCACAGAGTTGAACATTGCTTTCATAGTTCAGCTTTCAAACACTCTTTTTGTAGGATCTGCAAGTGGATATTTGACCACTTTGTGGCCTTCCTTCGAAACGGGTATATCTTCACATCAAACCTAGACAGAAGCATTCTCAGAATGTTTCCTGTGATGACTGCATTCAACTCACAGAGGTGAACAATCCTGCTGATGGAGCAGTTTTGAAACTCTCTTTCTTTGGATTCTGCAAGTGGATATGTGGACCTCTGTGAAGATTTCGTTGGAAACGGGTTCATCTTCACAGAAAAACTAAACAGAAGCATTCTCAGAAACTGCTTTGTGATGTTTGTGTTCCACTTCAAGAATTGAACTTTCCTCTTGACAGAGCAGCTCTGAAACCCTCTTTTTCTAGAATCTGCAAGTGGACATTTGGAGCGCTTTGAGGCCTGTGGTGCAAAAGGAAAATCTTCACATTAAAACTAGATGGAAGCATTCTCAGAAACTACTTTGTGATGATTGCATTCGACTCACAGAGTTGAACATTCCTATACATAGAGCAGGTTGTAAACAATCTTTTTGTAGAATCTGCGATTGGAGATTTGGACTGCTTTGAGGCCTACTGTAGTAAAGGAAATAACTTCATCTAAAAACCAAACGGAAGCATTCACAGACAATTCTTAGTGATCATTGCATTGAACTAACAGAGCTGAACATTCCTTTAGATGGCGCAGTTTCCAAACACACTTTCTGTAGAATCTGCAAGTGGATATTTGGACCTCTCTGAGGATTTCGTTGGAAACGGGATAAACTTCCCAGAACTACACGGAAGCATGCTGAGAAACTTCTTTGTGATGTTTGCATTCAACTCACAGAGTTGAACCATGCTTTCATAGTTCAGCTTTCAAACACTCTTTTTGTAGAATCTGCAAGTGGATATTTGGACCACTTTGTGGCCTTCCTTCGAAACGGGTATATCTTCACATCAAACCTAGACAGAAGCATTCTCAGAATGTTTCCTGTGATGACTGCATTCAACTCACAGAGGTGAACAATCCTGCTGATGGAGCAGTTTTGAAACTCTCTTTCTTTGGATTCTGCAAGTGGATATGTGGACCTCTGTGAAGATTTCGATGGAAACGGGTTCATCTTCACAGAAAAACTAAACAGAAGCATTCTCAGAAACTGCTTTGTGATGTTTGTGTTCCACTTCAGGAATTGAACTTTCCTCTTGACAGAGCAGCTCTGAAACCCTCTTATTCTAGAATCTGCAAGTGGACATTTGGAGGGCTTTGAGGCCTGTGGTGGAAAAGGAAAATCTTCACATAAAAACTAGATGGAATTATTCTGAGAATCTACTTTGTGATTATTGCATTCGACTCACAGAGTTGAACCTTCCAATGGAGAGAGCAGTTTGTAAACACTCTTTTTGTAGAATCTGCGATTGGAGATTTGGACTGCTTTGAGGCCTACAGTAGTAAAGGAAATAACTTCATCTAAAAACCAAACGGAAGCATTCACAGACAATTCTTAGTGATCATTGCATTGAACTAACAGAGCTGAACATTCCTTTAGATGGCGCAGTTTCCAAACACACTTTCTGTAGAATCTGCAAGTGGATATTTGGACCTCTCTGAGGATTTCGTTGGAAACGGGATAAACTTCCCAGAACTACACGGAAGCATTGTGAGAAACTTCTTTGTGATGTTTGCATTCAACTCACAGAGTTGAACCTTGCTTTCATAGTTCAGCTTTCAAACACTCTTTTTGTAGAATCTGCAAGTGGATATTTGGACCACTTTGTGGCCTTCCTTCGAAACGGGTATATCTTCACATCAAACCTAGACAGAAGCATTCTCAGAATGTTTCCTGTGATGACTGCATTCAACTCACAGAGGTGAACAATCCTGCTGATGGAGCAGTTTTGAAACTCTCTTTCTTTGGATTCTGCAAGTGGATATGTGGACCTCTGTGAAGATTTCGTTGGAAACGGGTTCATCTTCACAGAAAAACTAAACAGGAGCATTCTCAGAAACTGCTTTGTGATGTTTGTGTTCCACTTCAAGAATTGAACTTTCCTCTTGACAGAGCAGCTCTGAAACCCTCTTTTTCTAGAATCTCCAAGTGGACATTTGGAGGGCTTTGAGGCCTGTGGTGGAAAAGGAAAATCTTCACATAAAAAATTGATGGAAGCATTCTCAGAAACTACTTTGTGATGATTGCATTCGACTCACAGAGTTGAACATTCCTATAGATAGAGCAGGTTGTAAACAATCTTTTTGTAGAATCTGCGATTGGAGATTTGGACTGCTTTGAGGCCTACTGTAGTAAAGGAAATAACTTCATCTAAAAACCAAACGGAAGCATTCACAGACAATTCTTAGTGATCATTGCATTGAACTAACAGAGCTGAACATTCCTTTAGATGGCGCAGTTTCCAAACACACTTTCTGTGGAATCTGCAAGTGGATATTTGGACTTCTCTGAGGATTTCGTTGGAAACGGGATAAACTTCCCAGAACTACACGGAAGCATTCTGAGAAACTTCTCTGTGATGTTTGCATTCAACTCACAGAGTTGAACCTTGCTTTCATAGTTCAGCTTTCAAACACTCTTTTTGTAGAATCTGCAAGTGGATATTTGGACCACTTTGTGGCCTTCCTTCGAAACGGGTATATCTTCACATCAAACCTAGACAGAAGCATTCTCAGAATGTTTCCTGTGATGACTGCATTCAACTCACAGAGGTGAACAATCCTGCTGATGGAGCAGTTTTGAAACTCCCTTTCTTTGGATTCTGCAAGTGGATATGTGGACCTCTGTGAAGATTTCGTTGGAAACGGGTTCATCTTCACAGAAAAACTAAACAGGAGCATTCTCAGAAACTGCTTTGTGATGTTTGTGTTCCACTTCAAGAATTGAACTTTCCTCTTGACAGAGCAGCTCTGAAACCCTCTTTTTCTAGAATCTGCAAGTGGACATTTGGAGGGCTTTGAGGCCTGTGGTGGAAAAGGAAAATCTTCCCATAAAAACTAGATGGAAGCATTCTCAGAAACTACTTCGTGATGATTGCATTCGACTCACAGAGTTGAACATTCCTATAGATAGAGCAGGTTGTAAACAATCTTTTTGTAGAATCTGCGATTGGAGATTTGGACTGCTTTGAGGCCTACTGTAGTAAAGGAAATAACTTCATCTAAAAACCAAACGGAAGCATTCACAGACAATTCTTAGTGATCTATTGGATTGAACTAACAGAGCTGAACATTCCTTTAGATGGAGCAGTTTCCAAACACACTTTCTGTAGAATCTGTAAGTGGATATTTGGACTTCTCTGAGGATTTCGTTGGAAACGGGATAAACTTCCCAGAACTACACGGAAGCATTGTGAGAAACTTCTTTGTGATGTTTGCATTCAACTCACAGAGTTGAACCTTGCTTTCATAGTTCAGCTTTCAAACACTCTTTTTGTAGAATCTGCAAGTGGATATTTGGACCACTTTGTGGCCTTCCTTCGAAACGGGT
Source organism: Homo sapiens (assembly GCF_000001405.40). Lineage (NCBI taxonomy): Eukaryota > Metazoa > Chordata > Mammalia > Primates > Hominidae > Homo > Homo sapiens. The sequence goes on from NC_000011.10 coordinate 51,289,364, forward strand.
ATATCTTCACATCAAACCTAGACAGAAGCATTCTCAGAATGTTTCCTGTGATGACTGCATTCAACTCACAGAGGTGAACAATCCTGCTGATGGAGCAGTTTTGAAACTCTCTTTCTTTGGATTCTGCAAGTGGATATGTTCAACTCTGTGAAGATTTCGTTGGAAACGGGTTCATCTTCACAGAAAAACTAAACAGGAGCATTCTCAGAAACTGCTTTGTGATGTTTGTGTTCCACTTCAAGAATTGAACTTTCCTCTTGACAGAGCAGCTCTGAAACCCTCTTTTTCTAGAAACTGCAAGTGGACATTTGGAGGGATTTGAGGCCTGTGGTGGAAAAGGAAAATCTTCACATAAAAACTAGATGGAAGCATTCTCAGAAACTACTTTGTGATGATTGCATTCGACTCACAGAGTTGAACATTCCTATAGATAGAGCAGGTTGTAAACAATCTTTTTGTAGAATCTGCGATTGGAGATTTGGACTGCTTTGAGGCCTACTGTAGTAAAGGAAATAACTTCATCTAAAAACCAAACGGAAGCATTCACAGACAATTCTTAGTGATCATTGCATTGAATTAACAGAGCTGAACATTCCTTTAGATGGAGCAGTTTCCAAACCCACTTTCTGTAGAATCTGCAAGTGGATATTTGGACTTCTCTGAGGATTTCGTTGGAAACGGGATAAACTTCCCAGAACTACAGGGAAGCATTCTGAGAAACTTCTTTGTGATGTTTGCATTCAACTCACAGAGTTGAACCTTGCTTTCATAGTTCAGCTTTCAAACACTCTTTTTGTAGAATCTGCAAGTGGATATTTGGACCACTTTGTGGCCTTCCTTCGAAACGGGTATATCTTCACATCAAACCTAGACAGAAGCATTCTCAGAATGTTTCCTGTGATGACTGCATTCAACTCACAGAGGTGAACAATCCTGCTGATGGAGCAGTTTTGAAACTCCCTTTCTTTGGATTCTGCAAGTGGATATGTGGACCTCTGTGAAGATTTCGTTGGAAACGGGTTCATCTTCACAGAAAAACTAAACAGGAGCATTCTCAGAAACTGCTTTGTGATGTTTGTGTTCCACTTCAGGAATTGAACTTTCCTCTTAACAGAGCAGCTCTGAAACCCTCTTATTCTAGAATCTGCAAGTGGACATTTGGAGGGCTTTGAGGCCTGTGGTGGAAAAGGAAAATCTTCACATAAAAACTAGATGGAAGCATTCTCAGAAACTACTTTGTGATGATTGCATTCGACTCACAGAGTTGAACATTCCTATAGATAGAGCAGGTTGTAAACAATCTTTTTGTAGAATCTGCGATTGGAGATTTGGACTGCTTTGAGGCCTACTGTAGTAAAGGAAATAACTTCATCTAAAAACCAAACGGAAGCATTCACAGACAATTCTTAGTGATCATTGGATTGAACTAACAGAGCTGAACATTCCTTTAGATGGAGCATTTTCCAAACACACTTTCTGTAGAATCTGCAAGTGGATATTTGGACTTCTCTGAGGATTTCGTTGGAAACGGGATAAACTTCCCAGAACTACACGGAAGCATTGTGAGAAACTTCTTTGTGATGTTTGCATTCAACTCACAGAGTTGAACCTTGCTTTCATAGTTCAGCTTTCAAACACTCTTTTTGTAGAATCTGCAAGTGGATATTTGGACCACTTTGTGGCCTTCCTTCGAAACGGGTATATCTTCACATCAAACCTAGACAGAAGCATTCTCAGAATGTTTCCTGTGATGACTGCATTCAACTCACAGAGGTGAACAATCCTGCTGTTGGAGCAGTTTTGAAACTCTCTTTCTTTGGATTCTGCAAGTGGATATGTGGACCTCTGTGAAGATTTCGTTGGAAACGGGTTCATCTTCACAGAAAAACTAAACAGGAGCATTCTCAGAAACTGCTTTGTGATGTTTGTGTTCCACTTCAAGAATTGAACTTTCCTCTTGACAGAGCAGCTCTGAAACCCTCTTTTTCTAGAATCTGCAAGTGGACATTTGGAGGGCTTTGAGGCCTGTGGTGGAAAAGGAAAATCTTCACATAAAAACTAGATGGAAGCATTCTCAGAAACTACTTTGTGATGATTGCATTCGACTCACAGAGTTGAACATTCCTATAGATAGAGCAGGTTGTAAACAATCTTTTTGTAGAATCTGCGATTGGAGATTTGGACTGCTTTGAGGCCTACTGTAGTAAAGGAAATAACTTCATCTAAAAACCAAACGGAAGCATTCACAGACAATTCTTAGTGATCATTGGATTGAACTAACAGAGCTGAACATTCCTTTAGATGGAGCAGTTTCCAAACCCACTTTCTGTAGAATCTGCAAGTGGATATTTGGACTTCTCTGAGGATTTCGTTGGAAACGGGATAAACTTCCCAGAACTACACGGAAGCATTGTGAGAAACTTCTTTGTGATGTTTGCATTCAACTCACAGAGTTGAACCTTGCTTTCATAGTTCAGCTTTCAAACACTCTTTTTGTAGAATCTGCAAGTGGATATTTGGACCACTTTGTGGCCTTCCTTCGAAACGGGTATATCTTCACATCAAACCTAGACAGAAGCATTCTCAGAATGTTTCCTGTGATGACTGCATTCAACTCACAGAGGTGAACAATCCTGCTGATGGAGCAGTTTTGAAACTCTCTTTCTTTGGATTCTGCAAGTGGATATGTGGACCTCTGTGAAGATTTCGTTGGAAACGGGTTCATCTTCACAGAAAAACTAAACAGAAACATTCTCAGAAACTGCTCTGTGATGTTTGTGTTCCACTTCAGGAATTGAACTTTCCTCTTGACAGAGCAGCTCTGAAACCCTCTTATTCTAGAATCTGCAAGTGGACATTTGGAGGGCTTTGAGGCCTGTGGTGGAAAAGGAAAATCTTCACATAAAAAATAGATGGAAGCATTCTCAGAAACTACTTTGTGATGATTGCATTCGACTCACAGAGTTGAACATTCCTATAGATAGAGCAGGTTGTAAACAATCTTTTTGTAGAATCTGCGATTGGAGATTTGGACTGCTTTGAGGCCTACTGTAGTAAAGGAAATAACTTCATCTAAAAACCAAACGGAAGCATTCACAGACAATTCTTAGTGATCATTGCATTGAACTAACAGAGCTGAACATTCCTTTAGATGGCGCAGTTTCCAAACCCACTTTCTGTAGAATCTGCAAGTGGATATTTGGACCTCTCTGAGGATTTCGTTGGAAACGGGATAAACTTCCCAGAACTACACGGAAGCATTGTGAGAAACTTCTTTGTGATGTTTGCATTCAACTCACAGAGTTGAACCTTGCTTTCATAGTTCAGCTTTCAAACACTCTTTTTGTAGAATCTGCAAGTGGATATTTGGACCACTTTGTGGCCTTCCTTCGAAACGGGTATATCTTCACATCAAACCTAGACAGAAGCATTCTCAGAATGTTTCCTGTGATGACTGCATTCAACTCACAGAGGTGAACAATCCTGCTGATGGAGCAGTTTTGAAACTCTCTTTCTTTGGATTCTGCAAGTGGATATGTGGACCTCTGTGAAGATTTCGTTGGAAACGGGTTCATCTTCACAGAAAAACTAAACAGGAGCATTCTCAGAAACTGCTTTGTGATGTTTGTGTTCCACTTCAAGAATTGAACTTTCCTCTTGACAGAGCAGCTCTGAAACCCTCTTTTTCTAGAATCTGCAAGTGGACATTTGGAGGGCTTTGAGGCCTGTGGTGGAAAAGGAAAATCTTCACATAAAAACTAGATGGAAGCATTCTCAGAAACTACTTTGTGATGATTGCATTCGACTCACAGAGTTGAACATTCCTATAGATAGAGCAGGTTGAAAACAATCTTTTTGTAGAATCTGCGATTGGAGATTTGGACTGCTTTGAGGCCTACTGTAGTAAAGGATATAACTTCATCTAAAAACCAAACGGAAGCATTCACAGACAATTCTTAGTGATCATTGGATTGAACTAACTGAGCTGAACATTCCTTTAGATGGCGCAGTTTCCAAACACACTTTCTGTAGAATCTGCAAGTGGATATTTGGACCTCTCTGAGGATTTCGTTGGAAACGGGATAAACTTCCCAGAACTACACGGAAGCATTCTGAGAAACTTCTTTGTGATGTTTGCATTCAACTCACAGAGTTGAACCTTGCTTTCATAGTTCAGCTTTCAAACACTCTTTTTGTAGAATCTGCAAGTGGATATTTGGACCACTTTGTGGCCTTCCTTCGAAACGGGTATATCTTCACATCAAACCTAGACAGAAGCATTCTCAGAATGTTTCCTGTGATGACTGCATTCAACTCACAGAGGTGAACAATCCTGCTGATGGAGCAGTTTTGAAACTCTCCTTCTTTGGATTCTGCAAGTGGATATGTGGACCTCTGTGAAGATTTCGTTGGAAACGGGTTCATCTTCACAGAAAAACTAAACAGAAGCATTCTCAGAAACTGCTTTGTGATGTTTGTGTTCCACTTCAGGAATTGAACTTTCCTCTTGACAGAGCAGCTCTGAAACCCTCTTATTCTAGAATCTGCAAGTGGACATTTGGAGGGCTTTGAGGCCTGTGGTGGAAAAGGAAAATCTTCACATACAAACTAGATGGAAGCATTCTCAGAAACTACTTTGTGATGATTGCATTCGACTCACAGAGTTGAACATTCCTATAGATAGAGCAGGTTGTAAACAATCTTTTTGTAGAATCTGCGATTGGAGATTTGGACTGCTTTGAGGCCTACTGTAGTAAAGGAAATAACTTCATCTAAAAACCAAACGGAAGCATTCACAGACAATTCTTAGTGATCATTGCATTGAACTAACAGAGCTGAACATTCCTTTAGATGGCGCAGTTTCCAAACACACTTTCTGTAGAATCTGCAAGTGGATATTTGGACCTCTCTGAGGATTTCGTTGGAAACGGGATAAACTTCCCAGAACTACACGGAAGCATTGTGAGAAACTTCTTTGTGATGTTTGCATTCAACTCACAGAGTTGAACCTTGCTTTCATAGTTCAGCTTTCAAACACTCTTTTTGTAGAATCTGCAAGTGGATATTTGGACCACTTTGTGGCCTTCCTTCGAAACGGGTATATCTTCACATCAAACCTAGACAGAAGCATTCTCAGAATGTTTCCTGTGATGACTGCATTCAACTCACAGAGGTGAACAATCCTGCTGATGGAGCAGTTTTGAAACTCTCTTTCTTTGGATTCTGCAAGTGGATATGTGGACCTCTGTGAAGATTTCGTTGGAAACGGGTTCATCTTCACAGAAAAACTAAACAGGAGCATTCTCAGAAACTGCTTTGTGATGTTTGTGTTCCACTTCAAGAATTGAACTTTCCTCTTGACAGAGCAGCTCTGAAACCCTCTTTTTCTAGAATCTGCAAGTGGACATTTGGAGGGCTTTGAGGCCTGTGGTGGAAAAGGAAAATCTTCACATAAAAACTAGATGGAAGCATTCTCAGAAACTACTTTGTGATGATTGCATTCGACTCACAGAGTTGAACATTCCTATAGATAGAGCAGGTTGAAAACAATCTTTTTGTAGAATCTGCGATTGGAGATTTGGACTGCTTTGAGGCCTACTGTAGTAAAGGAAATAACTTCATCTAAAAACCAAACGGAAGCATTCACAGACAATTCTTAGTGATCATTGGATTGAACTAACAGAGCTGAACATTCCTTTAGATGGAGCAGTTTCCAAACACACTTTCTGTAGAATCTGCAAGTGGATATTTGGACCTCTCTGAGGATTTCGTTGGAAACGGGCTAAACTTCCCAGAACTACACGGAAGTATTCTGAGAAACTTCTTTGTGATGTTTGCATTCAACTCACAGAGTTGAAACTTGCTTTCATAGTTCAGCTTTCAAACACTCTTTTTGTAGAATCTGCAAGTGGATATTTGGACCACTTTGTGGCCTTCCTTCGAAACGGGTATATCTTCACATCAAACCTAGACAGAAGCATTCTCAGAATGTTTCCTGTGATGACTGCATTCAACTCACAGAGGTGAACAATCCTGCTGATGGAGCAGTTTTGAAACTCTCTTTCTTTGGATTCTGCAAGTGGATATGTGGACCTCTGTGAAGATTTCGTTGGAAACGGGTTCATCTTCACAGAAAAACTAAACAGAAGCATTCTCAGAAACTGCTTTGTGATGTTTGTGTTCCACTTCAGGAATTGAACTTTCCTCTTGACAGAGCAGCTCTGAAACCCTCTTATTCTAGAATCTGCAAGTGGACATTTGGAGGGCTTTGAGGCCTGTGGTGGAAAAGGAAAATCTTCACATAAAAACTAGATGGAAGCATTCTCAGAAACTACTTTGTGATGATTGCATTCGACTCACAGAGTTGAACACTCCTATAGATAGAGCAGGTTGTAAACAATCTTTTTGTAGAATCTGCGATTGGAGATTTGGACTGCTTTGAGGCCTACTGTAGTAAAGGAAATAACTTCATCTAAAAACCAAACGGAAGCATTCACAGACAATTCTTAGTGATCATTGGATTGAACTAACAGAGCTGAACATTCCTTTAGATGGAGCATTTTCCAAACACACTTTCTGTAGAATCTGCAAGTGGATATTTGGACTTCTCTGAGGATTTCGTTGGAAACGGGATAAACTTCCCAGAACTACACGGAAGCATTCTGAGAAACTTCTTTGTGATGTTTGCATTCAACTCACAGAGTTGAACCTTGCTTTCATAGTTCAGCTTTCAAACACTCTTTTTGTAGAATCTGCAAGTGGATATTTGGACCACTTTGTGGCCTTCCTTCGAAACGGGTATATCTTCACATCAAACCTAGACAGAAGCATTCTCAGAATGTTTCCTGTGATGACTGCATTCAACTCACAGAGGTGAACAATCCTGTTGATGGAGCAGTTTTGAAACTCTCTTTCTTTGGATTCTGCAAGTTGATATGTGGACCTCTGTGAAGATTTCGTTGGAAACGGGTTCATCTTCACAGAAAAACTAAACAGAAGCATTCTCAGAAACTGCTTTGTGATGTTTGTGTTCCACTTCAAGAATTGAACTTTCCTCTTGACAGAGCAGCTCTGAAACCCTCTTTTTCTAGAATCTGCAAGTGGACATTTGGAGGGCTTTGAGGCCTGTGGTGGAAAAGGAAAATCTTCACATAAAAACTAGATGGAAGCATTCTCAGAAACTACTTTGTGATGATTGCATTCGACTCACAGAGTTGAACATTCCTATAGATAGAGCAGGTTGTAAACAATCTTTTTGTAGAATCTGCGATTGGAGATTTGGACTGCTTTGAGGCCTACTGTAGTAAAGGAAATAACTTCATCTAAAAACCAAACGGAAGCATTCACAGACAATTCTTAGTGATCATTGGATTGAACTAACAGAGCTGAACATTCCTTTAGATGGAGCATTTTCCAAACACACTTTCTGTAGAATCTGCAAGTGGATATTTGGACTTCTCTGAGGATTTCGTTGGAAACGGGATAAACTTCCCAGAACTACACGGAAGCATTCTGAGAAACTTCTTTGTGATGTTTGCATTCAACTCACAGAGTTGAACCTTGCTTTCATAGTTCAGCTTTCAAACACTCTTTTTGTAGAATCTGCAAGTGGATATTTGGACCACTTTGTGGCCTTCCTTCGAAACGGGTATATCTTCACATCAAACCTAGACAGAAGCATTCTCAGAATGTTTTCTGTGATGACTGCATTCAACTCACAGACGTGAACAATCCTGTTGATGGAGCAGTTTTGAAACTGTCTTTCTTTGGATTCTGCAAGTGGATATGTGGACCTCTGTGAAGATTTCGTTGGAAACGGGTTCATCTTCACAGAAAAACTAAACAGGAGCATTCTCAGAAACTGCTTTGTGATGTTTGTGTTCCACTTCAAGAATTGAACTTTCCTCTTGACAGAGCAGCTCTGAAACCCTCTTTTTCTAGAATCTGCAAGTGGACATTTGGAGGGCTTTGAGGCCTGTGGTGGAAAAGGAAAATCTTCACATAAAAACTAGATGGAAGCATTCTCAGAAACTCCTTTGTGATGATTGCATTCGACTCACAGAGTTGAACATTCCTATAGATAGAGCAGGTTGTAAACAATCTTTTTGTAGAATCTGCGATTGGAGATTTGGACTGCTTTGAGGCCTACTGTAGTAAAGGAAATAACTTCATCTAAAAACCCAACGGAAGCATTCACAGACAATTCTTAGTGATCATTGGATTGAACTAACAGAGCTGAACATTCCTTTAGATGGAGCAGTTTCCAAACACAATTTCTGTAGAATCTGCAAGTGGATATTTGGACTTCTCTGAGGATTTCGTTGGAAACGGGATAAACTTCCCAGAACTACACGGAAGCATTCTGAGAAACTTCTTTGTGATGTTTGCATTCAACTCACAGAGTTGAATCTTGCTTTCATAGTTCAGCTTTCAAACACTCTTTTTGTAGAATCTGCAAGTGGATATTTGGACCACTTTGTGGCCTTCCTTCGAAACGGGTATATCTTCACATCAAACCTAGACAGAAGCATTCTCAGAATGTTTCCTGTGATGACTGCATTCAACTCACAGAGGTGAACAATCCTGCTGATGGAGCAGTTTTGAAACTCTCTTTCTTTGGATTCTGCAAGTGGATATGTGGACCTCTGTGAAGATTTCGTTGGAAACGGGTTCATCTTCACAGAAAAACTAAACAGAAGCATTCTCGGAAACTGCTTTGTGATGTTTGTGTTCCACTTCAGGAATTGAACTTTCCTCTTGACAGAGCAGCTCTGAAACCCTCTTATTCTAGAATCTGCAAGTGGACATTTGGAGGGCTTTGAGGCCTGTGGTGGAAAAGGAAAATCTTCACATAAAAACTAGATGGAAGCATTCTCAGAAACTACTTTGTGATGATTGCATTCGACTCACAGAGTTGAACATTCCTATAGATAGAGCAGGTTGTAAACAATCTTTTTGTAGAATCTGCGATTGGAGATTTGGACTGTTTTGAGGCCTACTGTAGTAAAGGAAATAACATCATCTAAAAACCAAACGGAAGCATTCACAGACAATTCTTAGTGATCATTGCATTGAACTAACAGAGCTGAACATTCCTTTAGATGGAGCAGTTTCCAAACACACTTTCTGTAGAATGTGCAAGTGGATATTTGGACTTCTCTGAGGATTTCGTTGGAAACGGGATAAACTTCCCAGAACTACACGGAAGCATTCTGAGAAACTTCTTTGTGATGTTTGCATTCAACTCACAGGAGTTGAACCTTGCTTTCATAGTTCAGCTTTCAAACACTCTTTTTGTAGAATCTACAGAAAGTGGATATTTGGACCACTTTGTGGCCTTCCTTCGAAACGGGTATATCTTCACATCAAACCTAGACAGAAGCATTCTCAGAATGTTTCCTGTGATGACTGCATTCAACTCACAGAGGTGAACAATCCTGCTGATGGAGCAGTTTTGAAACTCTCTTTCTTTGGATTCTGCAAGTGGATATGTGGACCTCTGTGAAGATTTCGTTGGAAACGGGTTCATCTTCACAGAAAAACTAAACAGAAGCATTCTCAGAAACTGCTTTGTGATGTTTGTGTTCCACTTCAGGAATTCAACTTTCCTCTTGAAAGAGCAGCTCTGAAACCCTCTTATTCTAGAATCTGCAAGTGGACATTTGGAGGGCTTTGAGGCCTGTGGTGGAAAAGGAAAATCTTCACATAAAAACTAGATGGAAGCATTCTCAGAAACTACTTTGTGATGATTGCATTCGACTCACAGAGTTGAACATTCCTATACATAGAGCAGGTTGTAAACAATCTTTTTGTAGAATCTGCGATTGGAGATTTGGACTGCTTTGAGGCCTACTGTAGTAAAGGAAATAACTTCATCTAAAAACCAAACGGAAGCATTCACAGACAATTCTTAGTGATCATTGCATTGAACTAACAGAGCTGAACATTCCTTTAGATGGAGCAGTTTCCAAACCCACTTTCTGTAGAATCTGCAAGTGGATATTTGGACTTCTCTGAGGATTTCGTTGGAAACGGGATAAACTTCCCAGAACTACACGGAAGCATTCTGAGAAACTTCTTTGTGATGTTTGCATTCAACTCACAGAGTTGAACCTTGCTTTCATAGTTCAGCTTTCAAACACTCTTTTTGTAGAATCTGCAAGTGGATATTTGGACCACTTTGTGGCCTTCCTTCGAAACGGGTATATCTTCACATCAAACCTAGACAGAAGCATTCTCAGAATGTTTCCTGTGATGACTGCATTCAACTCACAGAGGTGAACAATCCTGCTGATGGAGCAGTTTTGAAACTCTCTTTCTTTGGATTCTGCAAGTGGATATGTGGACCTCTGTGAAGATTTCGTTGGAAACGGGTTCATCTTCACAGAAAAACTAAACAGAATCATTCTCAGAAACTGCTTTGTGATGTTTGTGTTCCACTTCAGGAATTGAACTTTCCTCTTGACAGAGCAGCTCTGAAACCCTCTTTTTCTAGAATCTGCAAGTGGACATTTGGAGGGCTTTGAGGCCTGTGGTGGAAAAGGAAAATCTTCACATAAAAACTAGATGGAAGCATTCTCAGCAAACTACTTTGTGATGATTGCATTCGACTCACAGCAGTTGAACATTCCTATAGATAGAGCAGGTTGTAAACAATGTTTTTGTAGAATCTGCGATTGGAGATTTGGATTGCTTTGAGGCCTACTGTAGTAAAGGAAATAACTTCATCTAAAAACCAAACGGAAGCATTCACAGACAATTCTTAGTGATCATTGGATTGAACTAACAGAGCTGAACATTCCTTTAGATGGAGCAGTTTCCAAACCCACTTTCTGTAGAATCTGCAAGTGGATATTTGGACTTCTCTGAGGATTTCGTTGGAAACGGGATAAACTTCCCAGAACTACACGGAAGCATTGTGAGAAACTTCTTTGTGATGTTTGCATTCAACTCACAGAGTTGAACCTTGTTTTCATAGTTCAGCTTTCAAACACTCTTTTTGTAGAATCTGCAAGTGGATATTTGGACCACTTTGTGGCCTTCCTTCGAAACGGGTATATCTTCACATCAAACCTAGACAGAAGCATTCTCAGAATGTTTCCTGTGATGACTGCATTCAACTCACAGAGGTGAACAATCCTGTTGATGGAGCACTTTTGAAACTCTCTTTCTTTGGATTCTGCTAGTTGATATGTGGACCTCTGTGAAGATTTCGTTGGAAACGGGTTCATCTTCACAGAAAAACTAAACAGAAGCATTCTCAGAAACTACTTTGTGATGTTTGTGTTCCACTTCAAGAATTGAACTTTCCTCTTGACAGAGCAGCTCTGAAACCCTCTTTTTCTAGAATCTGCAAGTGGACATTTGGAGGGCTTTGAGGCCTGTGGTGGAAAAGGAAAATCTTCACATAAAAACTAGATGGAAGCATTCTCAGAAACTACTTTGTGATGATTGCATTCGACTCACAGAGTTGAACATTCCTATAGATAGAGCAGGTTGTAAACAATCTTTTTGTAGAATCTGCGATTGGAGATTTGGACTGCTTTGAGGCCTACTGTAGTAAAGGAAATAACTTCATCTAAAAACCAAACGGAAGCATTCACAGACAATTCTTAGTGATCATTGCATTGAACTAACAGAGCTGAACATTGCTTTAGATGGCGCAGTTTCCAAACCCACTTTCTGTAGAATCTGCAAGTGGATATTTGGACCTCTCTGAGGATTTCGTTGGAAACGGGATAAACTTCCCAGAACTACACGGAAGCATGCTGAGAAACTTATTTGTGATGTTTGCATTCAACTCACAGAGTTGAACCTTGCTTTCATAGTTCAGCTTTCAAACACTCTTTTTGTAGAATCTGCAAGTGGATATTTGGACCACTTTGTGGCCTTCCTTCGAAACGGGTATATCTTCACATCAAACCTAGACAGAAGCATTCTCAGAATGTTTCCTGTGATGACTGCATTCAACTCACAGAGGTGAACAATCCTGTTGATGGAGCACTTTTGAAACTCTCTTTCTTTGGATTCTGCAAGTTGATATGTGGACCTCTGTGAAGATTTCGTTGGAAACGGGTTCATCTTCACAGAAAAACTAAACAGAAGCATTCTCAGAAACTGCTTTGTGATGTTTGTGTTCCACTTCAGGAATTGAACTTTCCTCTTGACAGAGCAGCTCTGAAACCCTCTTATTCTAGAATCTGCAAGTGGACATTTGGAGGGCTTTGAGGCCTGTGGTGGAAAAGGAAAATCTTCACATAAAAACTAGATGGAAGCATTCTCAGAAACTACTTTGTGATGATTGCATTCGACTCACAGAGTTGAACATTCCTATAGATAGAGCAGGTTGTAAACAATCTTTTTGTAGAATCTGCGATTGGAGATTTGGACTGCTTTGAGGCCTACTGTAGTAAAGGAAATAACATCATCTAAAAACCAAACGGAAGCATTCACAGACAATTCTTAGTGATCATTGCATTGAACTAACAGAGCTGAACATTCCTTTAGATGGAGCAGTTTCCAAACACACTTTCTGTAGAATGTGCAAGTGGATATTTGGACTTCTCTGAGGATTTCGTTGGAAACGGGATAAACTTCCCAGAACTACACGGAAGCATTCTGAGAAACTTCTTTGTGATGTTTGCATTCAACTCACAGAGTTGAACCTTGCTTTCATAGTTCAGCTTTCAAACACTCTTTTTGTAGAATCTACAGAAAGTGGATATTTGGACCACTTTGTGGCCTTCCTTCGAAACGGGTATATCTTCACATCAAACCTAGACAGAAGCATTCTCAGAATGTTTCCTGTGATGACTGCATTCAACTCACAGAGGTGAACAATCCTGCTGATGGAGCAGTTTTGAAACTCTCTTTCTTTGGATTCTGCAAGTGGATATGTGGACCTTTGTGAAGATTTCGTTGGAAAAGGGTTCATCTTCCCAGAAAAACTAAAAAGAAACATTCTCAGAAACTGCTTTGTGAAGTTTGTGTTCCACTTCAGGAATTGAACTTTCCTCTTGACAGAGCAGCTCTGAAACCCTCTTATTCTAGAATCTGCAAGTGGACATTTGGAGGGCTTTGAGGCCTGTGGTGGAAAAGGAAAATCTTCACATAAAAACTAGATGGAAGCATTCTCAGAAACTACTTTGTGATGATTGCATTCGACTCACAGAGTTGAACATTCCTATAGATAGAGCAGGTTGTAAACAATCTTTTTGTAGAATCTGCGATTGGAGATTTGGACTGCTTTGAGGCCTACTGTAGTAAAGGAAATAACTTCATCTAAAAACCAAACGGAAGCATTCACAGACAATTCTTAGTGATCATTGGATTGAACTAACAGAGCTGAACATTCCTTTAGATGGAGCAGTTTCCAAACACACTTTCTGTAGAATCTGCAAGTGGATATTTGGACTTCTCTGAGGATTTCGTTGGAAACGGGATAAACTTCCCAGAACTACACGGAAGCATTGTGAGAAACTTCTTTGTGATGTTTGCATTCAACTCACAGAGTTGAACCTTGCTTTCATAGTTCAGCTTTCAAACACTCTTTTTGTGGAATCTGCAAGTGGATATTTGGACCACTTTGTGGCCTTCCTTCGAAACGGGTATATCTTCACATCAAACCTAGACAGAAGCATTCTCAGAATGTTTCCTGTGATGACTGCATTCAACTCACAGAGGTGAACAATCCTGCTGATGGAGCAGTTTTGAAACTCTCTTTCTTTGGATTCTGCAAGTGGATATGTGGACCTCTGTGAAGATTTCGTTGGAAACGGGTTCATCTTCACAGAAAAACTAAACAGAAGCATTCTCAGAAACTGCTTTGTGATGTTTGTGTTCCACTTCAAGAATTGAACTTTCCTCTTGACAGAGCAGCTCTGAAACCCTCTTTTTCTAGAATCTGCAAGTGGACATTTGGAGGGCTTTGAGGCCTGTGGTGGAAAAGGAAAATCTTCACATAAAAACTAGATGGAAGCATTCTCAGAAACTACTTTGTGATGATTGCATTCGACTCACAGAGTTGAACATTCCTATAGATAGAGCAGGTTGTAAACAATCTTTTTGTAGAATCTGCGATTGGAGATTTGGACTGCTTTGAGGCCTACTGTAGTAAAGGAAATAACTTCATCTAAAAACCAAACGGAAGCATTCACAGACAATTCTTAGTGATCATTGCATTGAACTAACAGAACTGAACATTCCTTTAGATGGCGCAGTTTCCAAACACACTTTCTGTAGAATCTGCAAGTGGATATTTGGACTTCTCTGAGGATTTCGTTGGAAGCGGGATAAACTTCCCAGAACTACACGGAAGCATTCTGAGAAACTTCTTTGTGATGTTTGCATTCAACTCACAGAGTTGAACCTTGCTTTCATAGTTCAGCTTTCAAACACTCTTTTTGTAGAATCTGCAAGTGGATATTTGGACCACTTTGTGGCCTTCCTTCGAAACGGGTATATCTTCACATCAAACCTACACAGAAGCATTCTCAGAATGTTTCCTGTGATGACTGCATTCAACTCACAGAGGTGAACAATCCTGTTGATGGAGCACTTTTGAAACTCTCTTTCTTTGGATTCTGCAAGTTGATATGTGGACCTCTGTGAAGATTTCGTTGGAAACGGGTTCATCTTCACAGAAAAACTAAACAGAAGCATTCTCAGAAACTGCTTTGTGATGTTTGTGTTCCACTTCAAGAATTGAACTTTCCTCTTGACAGAGCAGCTCTGAAACCCTCTTTTTCTAGAATCTGCAAGTGGACATTTGGAGGGCTTTGAGGCCTGTGGTGGAAAAGGAAAATCTTCACATAAAAACTAGATGGAAGCATTCTCAGAAACTACTTTGTGATGATTGCATTCGACTCACAGAGTTGAACATTCCTATAGATAGAGCAGGTTGTAAACAATCTTTTTGTAGAATCTGCGATTGGAGATTTGGACTGCTTTGAGGCCTACTGTAGTAAAGGAAATAACTTCATCTAAAAACCAAACGGAAGCATTCACAGACAATTCTTAGTGATCATTGGATTGAACTAACAGAGCTGAACATTCCTTTAGATGGCGCAGTTTCCAAACACACTTTCTGTAGAATCTGCAAGTGGATATTTGGACCTCTCTGAGGATTTCGTTGGAAACGGGATAAACTTACCAGAACTACACGGAAGCATTGTGAGAAACTTCTTTGTGATGTTTGCATTCAACTCACAGAGTTGAACCTTGCTTTCATAGTTCAGCTTTCAAACACTCTTTTTGTAGAATCTGCAAGTGGATATTTGGACCACTTTGTGGCCTTCCTTCGAAACGGGTATATCTTCACATCAAACCTAGACAGAAGCATTCTCAGAATGTTTCCTGTGATGACTGCATTCAACTCACAGAGGTGAACAATCCTGCTGATGGAGCAGTTTTGAAACTCTCTTTCTTTGGATTCTGCAAGTGGATATGAGGACCTCTGTGAAGATTTCGTTGGAAACGGGTTCATCTTCACAGAAAAAATAAACAGGAGCATTCTCAGAAACTGCTTTGTGATGTTTGTGTTCCACTTCAGGAATTGAACTTTCCTCTTGATAGAGCAGCTCTGAAACCCTCTTATTCTAGAATCTGCAAGTGGACATTTGGAGGGCTTTGAGGCCTGTGGTGGAAAAGGAAAATCTTCACATAAAAACTAGATGGAAGCATTCTCAGAAACTACTTTGTGATGATTGCATTCGACTCACAGAGTTGTACATTCCTATAGATAGAGCATGGTTGAAAACAATCTTTTTGTAGAATCTGCGATTGGAGATTTGGACTGCTTTGAGGCCTACTGTAGTAAAGGAAATAACTTCATCTAAAAACCAAACGGAAGCATTCACAGACAATTCTTAGTGATCATTGGATTGAACTAACAGAGCTGAACATTCCTTTAGATGGAGCAGTTTCCAAACCCACTTTCTGTAGAATCTGCAAGTGGATATTTGGACTTCTCTGAGGATTTCGTTGGAAACGGGATAAACTTCCCAGAACTACACGGAAGCATTGTGAGAAACTTCTTTGTGATGTTTGCATTCAACTCACAGAGTTGAACCTTGCTTTCATAGTTCAGCTTTCAAACACTCTTTTTGTAGAATCTGCAAGTGGATATTTGGACCACTTTGTGGCCTTCCTTCGAAACGGGTATATCTTCACATCAAACCTAGACAGAAGCATTCTCAGAATGTTTCCTGTGATGACTGCATTCAACTCACAGAGGTGAACAATCCTGTTGATGGAGCACTTTTGAAACTCTCTTTCTTTGGATTCTGCAAGTTGATATGTGGACCTCTGTGAAGATTTCGTTGGAAACGGGTTCATCTTCACAGAAAAACTAAACAGAAGCATTCTCAGAAACTGCTTTGTGATGTTTGTGTTCCACTTCAAGAATTAAACTTTCCTCTTGACAGAGCAGCTCTGAAACCCTCTTTTTCTAGAATCTGCAAGTGGACATTTGGAGGGTTTTGAGGCCTGTGGTGGAAAAGGAAAATCTTCACATAAAAACTAGATGGAAGCATTCTCAGAAACTACTTTGTGATGATTGCATTCGACTCACAGAGTTGAACATTCCTATAGATAGAGCAGGTTGTAAACAATCTTTTTGTAGAATCTGCGATTGGAGATTTGGACTGCTTTGAGGCCTACTGTAGTAAAGGAAATAACTTCATCTAAAAACCAAACGGAAGCATTCACAGACAATTCTTAGTGATCATTGCATTGAACTAACAGAGCTGAACATTCCTTTAGATGGAGCATTTTCCAAACACACTTTCTGTAGAATCTGCAAGTGGATATTTGGACTTCTCTGAGGATTTCGTTGGAAACGGGATATACTTCCCAGAACTACACGGAAGCATTGTGAGAAACTTCTTTGTGATGTTTGCATTCAACTCACAGAGTTGAACCTTGCTTTCATAGTTCAGCTTTCAAACACTCTTTTTGTAGAATCTGCAAGTGGATATTTGGACCACTTTGTGGCCTTCCTTCGAAACGGGTATATCTTCACATCAAACCTAGACAGAAGCATTCTCAGAATGTTTCCTGTGATGACTGCATTCAACTCACAGAGGTGAACAATCCTGTTGATGGAGCAGTTTTGAAACTCTCTTTCTTTGGATTCTGCAAGTTGATATGTGGACCTCTGTGAAGATTTCGTTGGAAACGGTTTCATGTTCACAGAAAAACTAAACAGAAACATTCTCAGAAACTGCTTTGTGATGTTTGTGTTCCACTTCAAGAATTGAACTTTCCTCTTGACAGAGCAGCTCTGAAACCCTCTTTTTCTAGAATCTGCAAGTGGACATTTGGAGGGCTTTGAGGCCTGTGGTGGAAAAGGAAAATCTTCACATAAAAACTAGATGGAAGCATTCTCAGAAACTACTTTGTGATGATTGCATTCGACTCACAGAGTTGAACATTCCTATAGATAGAGCAGGTTGTAAACAATCTTTTTGTAGAATCTGCGATTGGAGATTTGGACTGCTTTGAGGCCTACTGTAGTAAAGGAAATAACTTCATCTAAAAACCAAACGGAAGCATTCACAGACAATTCTTAGTGATCATTGGATTGAACTAACAGAGCTGAACATTCCTTTAGATGGCGCAGTTTCCAAACACACTTTCTGTAGAATCTGCAAGTGGATATTTGGACCTCTCTGAGGATTTCGTTGGAAACGGGATAAACTTCCCAGAACTACACGGAAGCATTCTGAGAAACTTCTTTGTGATGTTTGCATTCAACTCACAGAGTTGAACCTTGCTTTCATAGTTCAGCTTTCAAACACTCTTTTTGTAGAATCTGCAAGTGGATATTTGGACCACTTTGTGGCCTTCCTTCGAAACGGGTATATCTTCACATCAAACCTAGACAGAAGCATTCTCAGAATGTTTCCTGTGATGACTGCATTCAACTCACAGAGGTGAACAATCCTGTTGATGGAGCAGTTTTGAAACTCTCTTTCTTTGGATTCTGCAAGTTGATATGTGGACCTATGTGAAGATTTCGTTGGAAACGGGTTCATCTTCACAGAAAAACTAAACAGAAGCATTCTCAGAAACTGCTTTGTGATGTTTGTGTTCCACTTCAAGAATTGAACTTTCCTCTTGACAGAGCAGCTCTGAAACCCTCTTTTTCTAGAATCTGCAAGTGGACATTTGGAGGGCTTTGAGGCCTGTGGTGGAAAAGGAAAATCTTCACATAAAAACTAGATGGAAGCATTCTCAGAAACTACTTTGTGATGATTGCATTCGACTCACAGAGTTGAACATTCCTATAGATAGAGCAGGTTGTAAACAATCTTTTTGTAGAATCTGCGATTGGAGATTTGGACTGCTTTGAGGCCTACTGTAGTAAAGGAAATAACTTCATCTAAAAACCAAACGGAAGCATTCACAGACAATTCTTAGTGATCATTGGATTGAACTAACAGAGCTGAACATTCCTTTAGATGGAGCAGTTTCCAAACACACTTTCTGTAGAATCTGCAAGTGGATATTTGGACTTCTCTGAGGATTTCGTTGGAAACGGGATAAACTTCCCAGAACTACACGGAAGCATTGTGAGAAACTTCTTTGTGATGTTTGCATTCAACTCACAGAGTTGAACCTTGCTTTCATAGTTCAGCTTTCAAACACTCTTTTTGTAGAATCTGCAAGTGGATATTTGGACCACTTTGTGGCCTTCCTTCGAAACGGGTATATCTTCACATCAAACCTAGACAGAAGCATTCTCAGAATGTTTCCTGTGATGACTGCATTCAACTCACAGAGGTGAACAATCCTGCTGATGGAGCAGTTTTGAAACTCTCTTTCTTTGGATTCTGCAAGTGGATATGTGGACCTCTGTGAAGATTTCGTTGGAAACGGGTTCATCTTCACAGAAAAACTAAACAGAAGCATTCTCAGAAACTGCTTTGTGATGTTTGTGTTCCACTTCAGGAATTGAACTTTCCTCTTGACAGAGCAGCTCTGAAACCCTCTTATTCTAGAATCTGCAAGTGGACATTTGGAGGGCTTTGAGGCCTGTGGTGGAAAAGGAAAATCTTCACATAAAAACTAGATGGAAGCATTCTCAGAAACTACTTTGTGATGATGGCTTTCGACTCACAGAGTTGAACATTCCTATAGATAGAGCAGGTTGTAAACAATCTTTTTGTAGAATCTGCGATTGGAGATTTGGACTGCTTTGAGGCCTACTGTAGTAAAGGAAATAACTTCATCTAAAAACCAAACGGAAGCATTCACAGACAATTCTTAGTGATCATTGTATTGAACTAACAGAGCTGAACATTCCTTTAGATGGAGCAGTTTCCAAACACACTTTCTGTAGAATCTGCAAGTGGATATTTGGACTTCTCTGAGGATTTCGTTGGAAACGGGATAAACTTCCCAGAACTACAGGGAAGCATTGTGAGAAACTTCTTTGTGATGTTTGCATTCAACTCACAGAGTTGAACCTTGCTTTCATAGTTCAGCTTTCAAACACTCTTTTTGTAGAATCTGCAAGTGGATATTTGGACCACTTTGTGGCCTTCCTTCGACACGGGTATATCTTCACATCAAACCTAGACAGAAGCATTCTCAGAATGTTTCCTGTGATGACTGCATTCAACTCACAGAGGTGAACAATCCTGTTGATGGAGCACTTTTGAAACTCTCTTTCTTTGGATTCTGCAAGTTGATATGTGGACCTCTGTGAAGATTTCGTTGGAAACGGGTTCATCTTCACAGAAAAACTAAACAGAAGCATTCTCAGAAACTACTTTGTGATGTTTGTGTTCCACTTCAAGAATTGAACTTTCCTCTTGACAGAGCAGCTCTGAAACCCTCTTTTTCTAGAATCTGCAAGTGGACATTTGGAGGGCTTTGAGGCCTGTGGTGGAAAAGGAAAATCTTCACATAAAAACTAGATGGAAGCATTCTCAGAAACTACTTTATGATGATTGCATTCGACTCACAGAGTTGAACATTCCTATAGATAGAGCAGGTTGTAAACAATCTTTTTGTAGAATCTGCGATTGGAGATTTGGACTGCTTTGAGGCCTACTGTAGTAAAGGAAATAACTTCATCTAAAAACCAAACGGAAGCATTCACAGACAATTCTTAGTGATCATTGCATTGAACTAACAGAGCTGAACATTCCTTTAGATGGCGCAGTTTCCAAACACACTTTCTGTAGAATCTGCAAGTGGATATTTGGACCTCTCTGAGGATTTCGTTGGAAACGGGATAAACTTCCCAGAACTACACGGAAGCATTGTGAGAAACTTCTTTGTGATGTTTGCATTCAACTCACAGAGTTGAACCTTGCTTTCATAGTTCAGCTTTCAAACACTCTTTTTGTAGAATCTGCAAGTGGATATTTGGACCACTTTGTGGCCTTCCTTCGAAACGGGTATATCTTCACATCAAACCTAGACAGAAGCATTCTCAGAATGTTTCCTGTGATGACTGCATTCAACTCACAGAGGTGAACAATCCTGCTGATGGAGCAGTTTTGAAACTCTCTTTCTTTGGATTCTGCAAGTGGATATGTGGACCTCTGTGAAGATTTCGTTGGAAACGGGTTCATCTTCACAGAAAAACTAAACAGAAGCATTCTCAGAAACTGCTTTGTGATGTTTGTGTTCCACTTCAGGAATTGAACTTTCCTCTTGACAGAGCAGCTCTGAAACCCTCTTTTTCTAGAATCTGCAAGTGGACATTTGGAGGGCTTTGAGGCCTGTGGTGGAAAAGGAAAATCTTCACATAAAAACTAGATGGAAGCATTTTCAGAAACTACTTTGTGATGATTGCATTCGACTCACAGAGTTGAACATTCCTATAGATAGAGCAGGTTGTAAACAATCTTTTTGTAGAATCTGCGATTGGAGATTTGGACTGCTTTGAGGCCTACTGTAGTAAAGGAAATAACTTCATCTAAAAACCAAACGGAAGCATTCACAGACAATTCTTAGTGATCATTGGATTGAACTAACAGAGCTGAACATTCCTTTAGATGGCGCAGTTTCCAAACACACTTTCTGTAGAATCTGCAAGTGGATATTTGGACCTCTCTGAGGATTTCGTTGGAAACGGGATAAACTTCCCAGAACTACACGGAAGCATTGTGAGAAACTTCTTTGTGATGTTTGCATTCAACTCACAGAGTTGAACCTTGCTTTCATAGTTCAGCTTTCAAACACTCTTTTTGTAGAATCTGCAAGTGGATATTTGGACCACTTTGTGGCCTTCCTTCGAAACGGGTATATCTTCACATCAAACCTAGACAGAAGCATTCTCAGAATGTTTCCTGTGATGACTGCATTCAACTCACAGAGGTGAACAATCCTGCTGATGGAGCAGTTTTGAAACTCTCTTTCTTTGGATTCTGCAAGTGGATATGTGGACCTCTGTGAAGATTTCGTTGGAAACGTGCTCATCTTCACAGAAAAACTAAACAGGAGCATTCTCAGAAACTGCTTTGTGATGTTTGTGTTCCACTTCAAGAATTGAACTTTCCTCTTGACAGAGCAGCTCTGAAACCCTCTTTTTCTAGAATCTGCAAGTGGACATTTGGAGGGCTTTGAGGCCTGTGGTGGAAAAGGAAAATCTTCCCATAAAAACTAGATGGAAGCATTCTCAGAAACTACTTTGTGATGATTGCATTCGACTCACAAAGTTGAACATTCCTATAGATAGAGCAGGTTGTAAACAATCTTTTTGTAGAATCTACGATTGGAGATTTGGACTGCTTTGAGGCCTACTGTAGAAAAGGAAATAACTTCATCTAAAAACCAAACGGAAGCATTCACAGACAATTCTTAGTGATCATTGGATTGAACTAACAGAGCTGAACATTCCTTTAGATGGCGCAGTTTCCAAACACACTTTCTGTAGAATCTGCAAGTGGATATTTGGACCTCTCTGAGGATTTCGTTGGAAACGGGATAAACTTCCCAGAACTACACGGAAGCATTCTGAGAAACTTCTTTGTGATGTTTGCATTCAACTCACAGAGTTGAACCTTGCTTTCATAGTTCAGCTTTCAAACCCTCTTTTTGTAGAATCTGCAAGTGGATATTTGGACCACTTTGTGGCCTTCCTTCGAAACGGGTATATCTTCACATCAAACCTAGACAGAAGCATTCTCAGAATGTTTCCTGTGATGACTGCATTCAACTCACAGAGGTGAACAATCCTGCTGATGGAGCAGTTTTGAAACTCTCTTTCTTTGGATTCTGCAAGTGGATATGTGGACCTCTGTGAAGATTTCGTTGGAAACGGGTTCATCTTCACAGAAAAACTAAACAGAAGCATTCTCAGAAACTGCTTTGTGATGTTTGTGTTTCACTTCAGGAATTGAACTTTCCTCTTGACCGAGCAGCTCTGAAACCCTCTTATTCTAGAATCTGCAAGTGGACATTTGGAGGGCTTTGAGGCCTGTGGTGGAAAAGGAAAATATTCACATAAAAACTAGATGGAAGCATTCTCAGAAACTACTTTGTGATGATTGCGTTCGACTCACAGAGTTGAACATTCCTATAGATAGAGCAGGTTGTAAACAATCTTTTTGTAGAATCTGCGATTGGAGATTTGGACTGCTTTGAGGCCTACTGTAGTAAAGGAAATAACTTCATCTAAAAACCAAACGGAAGCATTCACAGACAATTCTTAGTGATCATTGGATTGAACTAACAGAGCTGAACATTCCTTTAGATGGAGCAGTTTCCAAACACACTTTCTGTAGAATCTGCAAGTGGATATTTGGACCTCTCTGAGGATTTCGTTGGAAACGGGATAAACTTCCTAGAACTACACGGAAGCATTCTGAGAAACTTCTTTGTGATGTTTGCATTCAACTCACAGAGTTGAACCTTGCTTTCATAGTTCAGCTTTCAAAGACTCTTTTTGTAGAATCTGCAAGTGGATATGTGGACCACTTTGTGGCCTTCCTTCGAAACGGGTATATCTTCACATCAAACCTAGACAGAAGCATTCTCAGAATGTTTCCTGTGATGACTGCATTCAACTCACAGAGGTGAACAATCCTGCTGATGGAGCAGTTTTGAAACTCCCTTTCTTTGGATTCTGCAAGTGGATATGTGGACCTCTGTGAAGATTTCCTTGGAAACGGGTTCATCTTCACAGAAAAACTAAACAGGAGCATTCTCAGAAACTGCTTTGTGATGTTTGTGTTCCACTTCAGGAATTGAACTTTCCTCTTAACAGAGCAGCTCTGAAACCCTCTTATTCTAGAATCTGCAATTGGACATTTGGAGGGCTTTGAGGCCTGTGGTGGAAAAGGAAAATCTTCACATAAAAACTAGATGGAAGCATTCTCAGAAACTACTTTGTGATGATTGCATTCGACTCACAGAGTTGAACATTCCTATAGATAGAGCAGGTTGTAAACAATCTTTTTGTAGAATCTGCGATTGGAGATTTGGACTGCTTTGAGGCCTACTGTAGTAAAGGAAATAACTTCATCTAAAAACCAAACGGAAGCATTCACAGACAATTCTTAGTGATCATTGCATTGAAATAACAGAGCTGAACATTCCTTTAGATGGCGCAGTTTCCAAACACACTTTCTGTAGGATCTGCAAGTGGATATTTGGACCTCTCTGAGGATTTCGTTGGAAACGGGATAAACTTCCCAGAACTACACGGAAGCATTCTGAGAAACTTCTTTGTGATGTTTGCATTCAACTCACAGAGTTGAACCTTGCTTTCATAGTTCAGCTTTCAAATACTCTTTTTGTAGAATCTGCAAGTGGATATTTGGACCACTTTGTGGCCTTCCTTCGAAACGGGTATATTCTTCACATCAAACATAGACAGAAGCATTCTCAGAATGTTTCCTGTGATGACTGCATTCCACTCACAGAGGTGAACAATCCTGCTGATGGAGCAGTTTTGAAACTCTCTTTCTTTGGATTCTGCAAGTGGATATGTGGACCTCTGTGAAGATTTCGTTGGAAAGGGGTTCATCTTCACAGAAAAACTAAACAGGAGCATTCTCAGAAACTGCTTTGTGATGTTTGTGTTCCACTTCAGGAATTGAACTTTCCTCTTGACAGAGCAGCTCTGAAACCCTCTTTTTCTAGAATCTGCAAGTGGACATTTGGAGGGCTTTGAGGCCTGTGGTGGAAAAGGAAAATCTTCACATAAAAACTAGATGGAAGCATTCTCAGAAACTACTTTGTGATGATTGCATTCGACTCACAGAGTTGAACATTCCTATAGATAGAGCAGGTTGTAAACAATCTTTTTGTAGAATCTGCGATTGGAGATTTGGACTGCTTTGAAGCCTACTGTAGTAAAGGAAATAACTTCATCTAAAAACCAAACGGAAGCATTCACAGACAATTCTTAGTGATCATTGCATTGAACTAACAGAGCTGAACATTCCTTTAGATGGCGCAGTTTCCAAACACACTTTCTGTAGAATCTGCAAGTGGATATTTGGACCTCTCTGAGGATTTCGTTGGAAACGGGATAAACTTCCCAGAACTACACGGAAGCATTGTGAGAAACTTCTTTGTGATGTTTGCATTCAACTCACAGAGTTGAACCTTGCTTTCATAGTTCAGCTTTCAAACACTCTTTTTGTAGAATCTGCAAGTGGATATTTGGACCACTTTGTGGCCTTCCTTCGAAACGGGTATATCTTCACATCAAACCTAGACAGAAGCATTCTCAGAATGTTTCCTGTGATGACTGCATTCAACTCACAGAGGTGAACAATCCTGCTGTTGGAGCAGTTTTGAAACTCTCTTTCTTTGGATTCTGCAAGTGGATATGTGGAACTCTGTGAAGATTTCGTTGGAAACGGGTACATCTTCACAGAAAAACTAAACAGGAGCATTCTCAGAAACTGCTTTGTGATGTTTGTGTTCCACTTCAAGAATTGAACTTTCCTCTTGACAGAGCAGCTCTGAAACCCTCTTTTTCTAGAATCTGCAAGTGGACATTTGGAGGGCTTTGAGGCCTGTGGTGGAAAAGGAAAATCTTCACATAAAAACTAGATGGAAGCATTCTCAGAAACTACTTTGTGATGATTGCATTCGACTCACAGAGTTGAACATTCCTATAGATAGAGCAGGTTGTAAACAATGTTTTTGTAGAATCTGCGATTGGAGATTTGGACTGCTTTGAGGCCTACTGTAGTAAAGGAAATAACTTCATCTAAAAACCAAACGGAAGCATTCACAGACAATTCTTAGTGATCATTGCATTGAACTAACAGAGCTGAACATTCCTTTAGATGGAGCAGTTGCCAAGCCCACTTTCTGTAGAATCTGCAAGTGGATATTTGGACTTCTCTGAGGATTTCGTTGGAAACGGGATAAACTTCCCAGAACTACACGGAAGCATTGTGAGAAATTTCTTTGTGATGTTTGCATTCAACTCACAGAGTTGAACCTTGGTTTCATAGTTCAGCTTTCAAACACTCTTTTTGTAGAATCTGCAAGAGGATATTTGGACCACTTTGTGGCCTTCCTTCGAAACGGGTATATCTTCACATCAAACCTAGACAGAAGCATTCTCAGAATGTTTCCTGTGATGACTGCATTCAACTCACAGAGGTGAACAATCCTGTTGATGGAGCACTTTTGAAACTCTCTTTCTTTGGATTCTGCAAGTGGATATGTGGACCTCTGTGAAGATTTCGTTGGAAACGGGTTCATCTTCACAGAAAAACTAAACAGAAGCATTCTCAGAAACTACTTTGTGATGTTTGTGTTCCACTTCAAGAATTGAACTTTCCTCTTGACAGAGCAGCTCTGAAACCCTCTTTTTCTAGAATCTGCAAGTGGACATTTGGAGGGCTTTGAGGCCTGTGGTGGAAAAGGAAAATCTTCACATAAAAACTAGATGGAAGCATTCTCAGAAACTACTTTGTGATGATTGCATTCGACTCACAGAGTTGAACATTCCTATAGATAGAGCAGGTTGTAAACAATGTTTTTGTAGAATCTGCGATTGGAGATTTGGACTGCTTTGAGGCCTACTGTAGTAAAGGAAATAACTTCATCTAAAAACCAAACGGAAGCATTCACAGACAATTCTTAGTGATCATTGGATTGAACTAACAGAGCTGAACATTCCTTTAGATGGAGCAGTTTCCAAACCCACTTTCTGTAGAATCTGCAAGTGGATATTTGGACTTCTCTGAGGATTTCGTTGGAAACGGGATAAACTTCCCAGAACTACACGGAAGCATTCTGAGAAACTTCTTTGTGATGTTTGCATTCAACTCACAGAGTTGAACCTTGCTTTCATAGTTCAGCTTTCAAACACTCTTTTTGTAGAATCTGCAAGTGGATATTTGGACCACTTTGTGGCCTTCCTTCGAAACGGGTATATCTTCACATCAAACCTAGACAGAAGCATTCTCAGAATGTTTCCTGTGATGACTGCATTCAACTCACAGAGGTGAACAATCCTGTTGATGGAGCACTTTTGAAACTCTCTTTCTTTGGATTCTGCAAGTTGATATGTGGACCTCTGTGAAGATTTCGTTGGAAACGGGTTCATCTTCACAGAAAAACTAAACAGAAGCATTCTCAGAAACTGCTTTGTGATGTTTGTGTTCCACTTCAGGAATTGAACTTTCCTCTTGACAGAGCAGCTCTGAAACCCTCTTATTCTAGAATCTGCAAGTGGACATTTGGAGGGCTTTGAGGCCTGTGGTGGAAAAGGAAAATCTTCACATAAAAACTAGATGGAAGCATTCTCAGAAACTACTTTGTGATGATTGCATTCGACTCACAGAGTTGAACATTCCTATAGATAGAGCAGGTTGTAAACAATCTTTTTGTAGAATCTGCGATTGGAGATTTGGACTGCTTTGAGGCCTACTGTAGTAAAGGAAATAACTTCATCTAAAAACCAAACGGAAGCATTCACAGACAATTCTTAGTGATCATTGCATTGAACTAACAGAGCTGAACATTCCTTTAGATGGCGCAGTTTCCAAACACACTTTCTGTAGAATCTGCAAGTGGATATTTGGACCTCTCTGAGGATTTCGTTGGAAACGGGATAAACTTCCCAGAACTACACGGAACCATTCTGAGAAACTTCTTTGTGATGTTTGCATTCAACTCACAGAGTTGAACCTTGCTTTCATAGTTCAGCTTTCAAACACTCTTTTTGTAAAATCTGCAAGTGGATATTTTGACCACTTTGTGGCCTTCCTTCGAAACGGGTATATCTTCACATCAAACCTAGACAGAAGCATTCTCAGAATGTTTCCTGTGATGACTGCATTCAACTCACAGAGGTGAACAATCCTGCTGATGGAGCAGTTTTGAAACTCTCTTTCTTTGGATTCTGCAAGTGGATATGTGGACCTCTGTGAAGATTTCGTTGGAAACGGGTTCATCTTCACAGAAAAACTAAACAGAAGCATTCTCAGAAACTGCTTTGTGATGTTTGTGTTCCACTTCAGGAATTGAACTTTCCTCTTGACAGAGCAGCTCTGAAACCCTCTTATTCTAGAATCTGCAAGTGGACATTTGGAGGGCTTTGAGGCCTGTGGTGGAAAAGGAAAATCTTCACATAAAAACTAGATGGAAGCATTCTCAGAAACTACTTTGTGATGATTGCATTCGACTCACAGAGTTGAACATTCCTATAGATAGAGCAGATTGTAAACAATCTTTTTGTAGAATCTGCGATTGGAGATTTGGACTGCTTTGAGGCCTACTGTAGTAAAGGAAATAACTTCATCTAAAAACCAAACGGAAGCATTCACAGACAATTCTTAGTGATCATTGGATTGAACTAACAGAGCTGAATATTCCTTGAGACGGAGCAGTTTCCAAACACACTTTCTGTAGAATCTGCAAGTGGATATTTGGACTTCTCTGAGGATTTCGTTGGAAACGGGATAATCTTCCCAGAACTACACGGAAGCATTGTGAGAAACTTCTCTGTGATGTTTGCATTCAACTCACAGAGTTGAACCTTGCTTTCATAGTTCAGCTTTCAAACACTCTTTTTGTGGAATCTGCAAGTGGATATTTGGACCACTTTGTGGCCTTCCTTCGAAACGGGTATATCTTCACATCAAACCTAGACAGAAGCATTCTCAGAATGTTTCCTGTGATGACTGCATTCAACTCACAGAGGTGAACAATCCTGCTGATGGAGCAGTTTTGAAACTCTCTTTCTTTGGATTCTGCAAGTGGATATGTGGACCTCTGTGAAGATTTCGTTGGAAACGGGTTCATCTTCACAGAAAAACTAAACAGGAGCATTCTCAGAAACTGCTTTGTGATGTTTGTGTTCCACTTCAAGAATTGAACTTTCCTCTTGACAGAGCAGCTCTGAAACCCTCTTTTTCTAGAATCTGCAAGTGGACATTTGGAGGGCTTTGAGGCCTGTGGTGGAAAAGGAAAATCTTCACATAAAAACTAGATGGAAGCATTCTCACAAACTCCTTTGTCATGATTGCATTCGAATCACAGAGTTGAACATTCCCATAGATAGAGCAGGTTGTAAACAATCTTTTTGTAGAATCTGCGATTGGAGATTTCGACTGCTTTGAGGCCTACTGTAGTAAAGGAAATAACTTCATCTAAAAACCAAACGGAAGCATTCACAGACAATTCTTAGTGATCATTGCATTGAACTAACAGAGCTGAACATTCCTTTAGATGGAGCAGTTTCCAAACACACTTTCTGTAGAATCTGCAAGTGGATATTTGGACCTCTCTGAGGATTTCGTTGGAAACGGGATAAACTTCCCAGAACTACACGGAAGCATTCTGAGAAACTTCTTTGTGATGTTTGCATTCAACTCACAGAGTTGAACCTTGCTTTCATAGTTCAGCTTTCAAACACTCTTTTTGTAGAATCTGCAAGTGGATATTTGGACCACTTTGTGGCCTTCCTTCGAAACGGGTATATCTTCACATCAAACCTAGACAGAAGCATTCTCAGAATGTTTCCTGTGATGACTGCATTCAACTCACAGAGGTGAACAATCCTGCTGATGGAGCAGTTTTGAAACTCTCTTTCTTTGGATTCTGCAAGTGGATATGTGGACCTCTGTGAAGATTTCGTTGGAAACGGGTTCATCTTCACAGAAAAACTAAACAGGAGCATTCTCAGAAACTGCTTTGTGATGTTTGTGTTCCACATCAAGAATTGAACTTTCCTCTTGACAGAGCAGCTCAGAAACCCTCCTTTTCTGGAATCTGCAAGTGGACATTTGGAGGGCTTTGAGGCCTGTGGTGCAAAAGGAAAATCTTCACATAAAAACTAGATGGAAGCATTCTCAGAAACTACTTTGTGATGATTGCATTCGACTCACAGAGTTGAACATTCCTATAGATAGAGCAGGTTGTAAACAATCTTTTTGTAGAATCTGCGATTGGAGATTTGGACTGCTTTGAGGCCTACTGTAGTAAAGGAAATAACTTCATCTAAAAACCAAACGGAAGCATTCACAGACAATTCTTAGTGATCATTGCATTGAACTAACAGAGCTGAACATTCCTTTAGATGGCGCAGTTTCCAAACACACTTTCTGTAGAATCTGCAAGTGGATATTTGGACCTCTCTGAGGATTTCGTTGGAAACGGGATAAACTTCCCAGAACTACACGGAAGCATTGTGAGAAACTTCTTTGTGATGTTTGCATTCAACTCACAGAGTTGAACCTTGCTTTCATAGTTCAGCTTTCAAACACTCTTTTTGTAGAATCTGCAAGTGGATATTTGGACCACTTTGTGGCCTTCCTTCGAAACGGGTATATCTTCACATCAAACCTAGACAGAAGCATTCTCAGAATGTTTCCTGTGATGACTGCATTCAACTCACAGAGGTGAACAATCCTGCTGTTGGAGCAGTTTTGAAACTCTCTTTCTTTGGATTCTGCAAGTGGATATGTGGACCTCTGTGAAGATTTCGTTGGAAACGGGTTCATCTTCACAGAAAAACTAAACAGAAGCATTCTCAGAAACTGCTTTGTGATGTTTGTGTTCCACTTCAAGAATTGAACTTTCCTCTTGACAGAGCAGCTCTGAAACCCTCTTTTTCTAGAATCTGCAAGTGGACATTTGGAGGGCTTTGAGGCCTGTGGTGGAAAAGGAAAATCTTCACATAAAAACTAGATGGAAGCATTCTCAGAAACTACTTTGTGATGATTGCATTCGACTCACAGAGTTGAACATTCCTATAGATAGAGCAGGTTGTAAACAATCTTTTTGTAGAATCTGCGATTGGAGATTTGGACTGCTTTGAGGCCTACTGTAGTAAAGGAAATAACTTCATCTAAAAACCAAACGGAAGCATTCACAGACAATTCTTAGTGATCATTGGATTGAACTAACAGAGCTGAACATTCCTTTAGATGGAGCAGTTTCCAAACACACTTTCTGTAGAATCTGCAAGTGGATATTTGGACCTCTCTGAGGATTTCGTTGGAAACGGGATAAACTTCCCAGAACTACACGGAAGCTTTCTGAGAAACTTCTTTGTGATGTTTGCATTCAACTCACAGGGTTGAACCTTGCTTTCATAGTTCAGCTTTCAAACACTCTTTTTGTAGAATCTGCAAGTGGATATTTGGACCACTTTGTGGCCTTCCTTCGAAACGGGTATATCTTCACATCAAACCTAGACAGAAGCATTCTCAGAATGTTTCCTGTGATGACTGCATTCAACTCACAGAGGTGAACAATCCTGCTGATGGAGCAGTTTTGAAACTCTCTTTCTTTGGATTCTGCAAGTGGATATGTGGACCTCTGTGAAGATTTCGTTGGAAACGGGTTCATCTTCACAGAAAAACTAAACAGGAGCATTCTCAGAAACTGCTTTGTGATGTTTGTGTTCCATTTCAAGAATTGAACTTTCCTCTTGACAGAGCAGCTCTGAAACCCTCTTTTTCTAGAATCTGCAAGTGGACATTTGGAGGGCTTTGAGGCCTGTGGTGGAAAAGGAAAATCTTCACATAAAAACTAGATGGAAGCATTCTCAGAAACTACTTTGTGATGATTGCATTCGACTCACAGAGTTGAACATTCCTATAGATAGAGCAGGTTGTAAACAATCTTTTTGTAGAATCTGCGATTGGAGATTTGGACTGCTTTGAGGCCTACTGTAGTAAAGGAAATAACTTCATCTAAAAACCAAACGGAAGCATTCACAGACAATTCTTAGTGATCATTGGATTGAACTAACAGAGCTGAACATTCCTTTAGATGGAGCAGTTTCCAAACCCACTTTCTGTAGAATCTGCAAGTGGATATTTGGACTTCTCTGAGGATTTCGTTGGAAACGGGATAAACTTCCCAGAACTACACGGAAGCATTGTGAGAAACTTCTTTGTGATGTTTGCATTCAACTCACAGATTTGAACCTTGCTTTCATAGTTCAGCTTTCAAACACTCTTTTTGTAGAATCTGCAAGTGGATATTTGGACCACTTTGTGGCCTTCCTTCGAAACGGGTATATCTTCACATCAAACCTAGACAGAAGCATTCTCAGAATGTTTCCTGTGATGACTGCATTCAACTCACAGAGGTGAACAATCCTGCTGATGGAGCAGTTTTGAAACTCTCTTTCTTTGGATTCTGCAAGTGGATATGTGGACCTCTGTGAAGATTTCGTTGGAAACCTGTTCATCTTCACAGAAAAACTAAACAGGAGCATTCTCAGAAACTGCTTTGTGATGTTTGTGTTCCACTTCAAGAATTGAACTTTCCTCTTGACAGAGCAGCTCTGAAACCCTCTTTTTCTAGAATCTGCAAGTGGACATTTGGAGGGCTTTGAGGCCTGTGGTGGAAAAGGAAAATCTTCCCATAAAAACTAGATGGAAGCATTCTCAGAAACTCCTTTGTGATGATTGCATTCGACTCACAGAGTTGAACATTCCTATAGATAGAGCAGGTTGTAAACAATCTTTTTGTAGAATCTGCGATTGGAGATTTGGACTGCTTTGAGGCCTACTGTAGTAAAGGAAATAACTTCATCTAAAAACCAAACGGAAGCATTCACAGAAAATTCTTAGTGATCATTGGATTGAACTAACAGAGCTGAACATTCCCTTAGATGGCGCAGTTTCCAAACACGTTTTCTGTAGAATCTGCAAGTGGATATTTGGACCTCTCTGAGGATTTCGTTGGAAACGGGATAAACTTCCCAGAACTACACGGAAGCATTGTGAGAAACTTCTTTGTGATGTTTGCATTTAACTCACAGAGTTGAACCTTGCTTTCATAGTTCAGCTTTCAAACACTCTTTTTGTAGAATCTGCAAGTGGATATTTGGACCATTTTTGGCCTTCCTTCGAAACGGGTATATCTTCACATCAAACCTAGACAGAAGCATTCTCAGAATGTTTCCTGTGATGACTGCATTCAACTCACAGAGGTGAACAATCCTGCTGATGGAGCAGTTTTGAAACTCTCTTTCTTTGGATTCTGCAAGTGGATATGTGGACCTCTGTGAAGATTTCGTTGGAAACGGGTTCATCTTCACAGAAAAACTAAACAGAAGCATTCTCGGAAACTGCTTTGTGATGTTTGTGTTCCACTTCAAGAATTGAACTTTTCTCTTGACAGAGCAGCTCTGAAACCCTCTTTTTCTAGAATCTGCAAGTGGACATTTGGAGGGCTTTGAGGCCTGTGGTGGAAAAGGAAACTCTTCACATAAAAACTAAATGGAAGCATTCTCAGAAACTACTTTGTGATGATTGCATTCGACTCAGAGAGTTGAACATTCCTATAGATAGAGCAGGTTGTAAACAATCTTTTTGTAGAATCTGCGATTGGAGATTTGGACTGCTTTGAGGCCTACTGTAGTAAAGGAAATAACTTCATCTAAAAACCAAACGGAAGCATTCACAGACAATTCTTAGTGATCATTGCATTGAACTAACAGAGCTGAACATTCCTTTAGATGGCGCAGTTTCCAAACACACTTTCTGTAGAATCTGCAAGTGGATATTTGGACCTCTCTGAGGATTTCGTTGGAAACGGGATAAACTTCCCAGAACTACACGGAAGCATTCTGAGAAACTTCTTTGTGATGTTTGCATTCAACTCACAGAGTTGAACCTTGCTTTCATAGTTCAGCTTTCAAACCCTCTTTTTGTAGAATCTGCAAGTGGATATTTGGACCACTTTGTGGCCTTCCTTCGAAACGGGTATATCTTCACATCAAACCTAGACAGAAGCATTCTCAGAATGTTTCCTGTGATGACTGCATTCAACTCACAGAGGTGAACAATCCTGCTGATGGAGCAGTTTTGAAACTCTCTTTCTTTGGATTCTGCAAGTGGATATGTGGACCTCTGTGAAGATTTCGTTGGAAACGGGTTCATCTTCACAGAAAAACTAAACAGAAGCATTCTCAGAAACTGCTTTGTGATGTTTGTGTTCCACTTCAGGAATTGAACTTTCCTCTTGACAGAGCAGCTCTGAAACCCTCTTTTTCTAGAATCTGCAAGTGGACATTTGGAGGGCTTTGAGGCCTGTGGTGGAAAAGGAAAATCTTCACATAAAAACTAGATGGAAGAATTCTCAGAAACTACTTTGTGATGATTGCATTCGACTCAAAGAGTTGAACATTCTTATAGATAGAGCAGGTTGTAAACAATCTTTTTGTAGAATCTGCCATAGGAGATTTGGACTGCTTTGAGGCCTACTGTAGTAAAGGAAATAACTTCATCTAAAAACCAAACGGAAGCATTCACAGACAATTCTTAGTGATCATTGCATTGAACTAACAGAGCTGAACATTCCTTTAGATGGAGCAGTTTCCAAACACACTTTCTGTAGAATCTGCAAGTGGATATTTGGACTTCTCTGAGGATTTCGTTGGAAAAGGGATAAACTTCCCAGAACTACACGGAAGCATTGTGAGAAACTTCTTTGTGATGTTTGCATTCAACTCACAGAGTTGAACCTTGCTTTCATAGTTCAGCTTTCAAACACTCTTTTTGTAGAATCTGCAAGTGGATATTTGGACCACTTTGTGGCCTTCCTTCGAAACGGGTATATCTTCACATCAAACCTAGACAGAAGCATTCTCAGAATGTTTCCTGTGATGACTGCATTCAACTCACAGAGGTGAACAATCCTGCTGATGGAGCAGTTTTGAAACTCTCTTTCTTTGGATTCTGCAAGTGGATATGTGGACCTCTGTGAAGATTTCGTTGGAAACGGGTTCATCTTCACAGAAAAACTAAACAGAAACATTCTCAGAAACTGCTTTGTGATGTTTGTGTTCCACTTCAAGAATTGAACTTTCCTCTTGACAGAGCAGCTCTGAAACCCTCTTTTTCTAGAATCTGCAAGTGGACATTTGGAGGGCTTTG
The DNA here is from genome assembly GCF_000001405.40 of Homo sapiens. Lineage (NCBI taxonomy): Eukaryota > Metazoa > Chordata > Mammalia > Primates > Hominidae > Homo > Homo sapiens. The sequence goes on from NC_000011.10 coordinate 51,323,695, forward strand.
AGGCCTGTGGTGGAAAAGGAAAATCTTCACATAAAAACTAGATGGAAGCATTCTCAGAAACTACTTTGTGATGATTGCATTCGACTCACAGAGTTGAACATTCCTATAGATAGAGCAGGTTGTAAACAATCTTTTTGTAGAATCTGCGATTGGAGATTTGGACTGCTTTGAGGCCTACTGTAGTAAAGGAAATAACTTCATCTAAAAACCAAACGGAAGCATTCACAGACAATTCTTAGTGATCATTGGATTGAACTAACAGAGCTGAACATTCCTTTAGATGGAGCAGTTTCCAAACACACGTTCTGTAGAATCTGCAAGTGGATATTTGGACTTCTCTGAGGATTTCGTTGGAAACGGGATAAACTGCCCAGAACTACACGGAAGCATTGTGAGAAACTTCTTTGTGATGTTTGCATTCAACTCACAGAGTTGAACCTTGCTTTCATAGTTCAGCTTTCAAACACTCTTTTTGTAGAATCTGCAAGTGGATATTTGGACCACTTTGTGGCCTTCCTTCGAAACGGGTATATCTTCACATCAAACCTAGACAGAAGCATTCTCAGAATGTTTCCTGTGATGACTGCATTCAACTCACAGAGGTGAACAATCCTGCTGATGGAGCAGTTTTGAAACTCTCTTTCTTTGGATTCTGCAAGTGGATATGTGGACCTCTGTGAAGATTTCGTTGGAAACGGGTTCATCTTCACAGAAAAACTAAACAGAAGCATTCTCAGAAACTACTTTGTGATGTTTGTGTTCCACTTCAAGAATTGAACTTTCCTCTTGACAGAGCAGCTCTGAAACCCTCTTTTTCTAGAATCTGCAAGTGGACATTTGGAGGGCTTTGAGGCCTGTGGTGGAAAAGGAAAATCTTCACATAAAAACTAGATGGAAGCATTCTCAGAAACTACTTTGTGATGATTGCATTCGACTCACAGAGTTGAACATTCCTATAGATAGAGCAGGTTGTAAACAATGTTTTTGTAGAATCTGCGATTGGAGATTTGGACTGCTTTGAGGCCTACTGTAGTAAAGGAAATAACTTCATCTAAAAACCAAACGGAAGCATTCACAGACAATTCTTAGTGATCATTGCATTGAACTAACAGAGCTGAACATTCCTTTAGATGGCGCAGTTTCCAAACACACTTTCTGTAGAATCTGCAAGTGGATATTTGGACCTCTCTGAGGATTTCGTTGGAAACGGGATAAACTTCCCAGAACTACACGGAAGCATTCTGAGAAACTTCTTTGTGATGTTTGCATTCAACTCACAGAGTTTAACCTTGCTTTCATAGTTCAGCTTTCAAACACTCTTTTTGTAGAATCTGCAAGTGTATATTTGGACCACTTTGTGGCCTTCCTTCGAAACGGGTATATCTTCACATCAAACCTAGACAGAAGCATTCTCAGAATGTTTCCTGTGATGACTGCATTCAACTCACAGAGGTGAACAATCCTGCTGATGGAGCAGTTTTGAAACTCTCTTTCTTTGGATTCTGCAAGTGGATATGTGGACCTCTGTGAAGATTTCGTTGGAAACGGGTTCATCTTCACAGAAAAACTAAACAGGAGCATTCTCAGAAACTGCTTTGTGATGTTTGTGTTCCACTTAAAGAATTGAACTTTCCTCTTGACAGAGCAGCTCTGAAACCCTCTTTTTCTAGAATCTGCAAGTGGACATTTGGAGGGCTTTGAGGCCTGTGGTGGAAAAGGAAAATCTTCACATAAAAACTTTATGGAAGCATTCTCAGAAACTACTTTGTGATGATTGCATTCGACTCACAGAGTTGAACATTCCTATAGATAGAGCAGGTTGTAAACAATCTTTTTCTAGAATCTGCGATTGGAGATTTGGACTGCTTTGAGGCCAACTGTAGTAAAGGAAATAACTACATCTAAAAACCAAACGGAAGCATTCACAGACAATTCTTAGTGATCATTGGATTGAACTAACAGAGCTGAACATTCCTTTAGATGGAGCAGTTTCCAAACACACTTTCTGTAGAATCTGCAAGTGGATATTTGGACTTCTCTGAGGATTTCGTTGGAAACGGGATAAACTTCCCAGAACTACACGGAAGCATTGTGAGAAACTTCTTTGTGATGTTTGCATTCAACTCACAGAGTTGAACCTTGCTTTCATAGTTCAGCTTTCAAACACTCTTTTTGTAGAATCTGCAAGTGGATATTTGGACCACTTTGTGGCCTTCCTTCGAAACGGGTATATCTTCACATCAAACCTAGACAGAAGCATTCTCAGAATGTTTCCTGTGATGACTGCATTCAACTCACAGAGGTGAACAATCCTGCTGATGGAGCAGTTTTGAAACTCTCTTTCTTTGGATTCTGCAAGTGGATATGTGGACCTCTGTGAAGATTTCGTTGGAAACGGGTTCATCTTCACAGAAAAAATAAACAGAAGCATTCCCAGAAACTGCTTTGTGATGTTTCTGTTCCACTTCAAGAATTGAACTTTCCTCTTGACAGAGCAGCTCTGAAACCCTCTTTTTCTAGAATCTGCAAGTGGACATTTGGAGGGCTTTGAGGCCTGTGGTGGAAAAGGAAAATCTTCACATAAAAACTAGATGGAAGCATTCTCAGAAACTACTTTGTGATGATTGCATTCGACTCACAGAGTTGAACATTCCTATAGATAGAGCAGGTTGTAAACAATCTTTTTGTAGAATCTGCGATTGGAGATTTGGACTGCTTTGAGGCCTACTGTAGTAAAGGAAATAACTTCATCTAAAAACCAAACGGAAGCATTCACAGACAATTCTTAGTGATCATTGGATTGAACTAACAGAGCTGAACATTCCTTTAGATGGAGCAGTTTCCAAACACACTTTCTGTAGAATCTGCAAGTGGATATTTGGACCTCTCTGAGGATTTCGTTGGAAACGGGATAAACTTCCCAGAACTACACGGAAGCATTCTGAGAAACTTCTTTGTGATGTTTGCATTCAACTCACAGAGTTGAACCTTGTTTTCATAGTTCAGCTTTCAAACACTCTTTTTGTAGAATCTGCAAGTGGATATTTGGACCACTTTGTGGCCTTCCTTCGAAACGGGTATATCTTCACATCAAACCTAGACAGAAGCATTCTCAGAATGTTTCCTGTGATGACTGCATTCAACTCACAGAGGTGAACAATCCTGTTGATGGAGCACTTTTGAAACTCTCTTTCTTTGGATTCTGCAAGTTGATATGTGGACCTCTGTGAAGATTTCGTTGGAAACGGGTTCATCTTCACAGAAAAACTAAACAGAAGCATTCTCGGAAACTGCTTTGTGATGTTTGTGTTCCACTTCAGGAATTGAACTTTCCTCTTGACAGAGCAGCTCTGAAACCCTCTTATTCTAGAATCTGCAAGTGGACATTTGGAGGGCTTTGAGGCCTGTGGTGGAAAAGGAAAATCTTCACATAAAAACTAGATGGAAGCATTCTCAGAAACTACTTTGTGATGATTGCATTCGACTCACAGAGTTGAACATTCCTATAGATAGAGCAGGTTGTAAACAATCTTTTTGAAGAATCTGCGATTGGAGATTTGGACTGCTTTGAGGCCTACTGTAGTAAAGGAAATAACTTCATCTAAAAACCAAACGGAAGCATTCACAGACAATTCTTAGTGATCATTGCATTGAACTAACAGAGCTGAACATTCCTTTAGATGGCGCAGTTTCCAAACACACTTTCTGTAGAATCTGCAAGTGGATATTTGGACCTCTCTGAGGATTTCGTTGGAAACGGGATAAAATTCCCAGAACTACACGGAAGCATTCTGAGAAACTTCTTTGTGATGTTTGCATTCAACTCACAGAGTTGAACCTTGCTTTCATAGTTCAGCTTTCAAACACTCTTTTTGTAGAATCTGCAAGTGGATATTTGGACCACTTTGTGGCCTTCCTTCGAAACGGGTATATCTTCACATCAAACCTAGACAGAAGCATTCTCAGAATGTTTCCTGTGATGACTGCATTCAACTCACAGAGGTGAACAATCCTGCTGATGGAGCAGTTTTGAAACTCTCTTTCTTTGGATTCTGCAAGTGGATATGTGGACCTCTGTGAAGATTTCGTTGGAAACGGGTTCATCTTCACAGAAAAACTAAACAGAAGCATTCTCAGAAACTGCTTTGTGATGTTTGCTTTCCACTTCAGGAATTGAACTTTCCTCTTGACAGAGCAGCTCTGAAACCCTCTTTTTCTAGAATCTGCAAGTGGACATTTGGAGGGCTTTGAGGCCTGTGGTGGAAAAGGAAAATCTTCACATAAAAACTAGATGGAAGCATTCTCAGAAACTACTTTGTGATGATTGCATTCGACTCATAGAGTTGAAAATTCCTATAGATAGAGCAGGTTGTAAACAATCTTTCTGTAGAATCTGCGATTGGAGATTTGGACTTCTTTGAGGCCTACTGTAGTAAAGGAAATAACTTCATCGAAAAACCAAGCGGAAGCATTCACAGACAATACTTTGTGATCATTGGATTGAACTAAGAGAGCTGAACATTCCTTTAGATGGCGCAGTTTCCCAACACACTTTCTGTAGAATATGCAAGTGGATATTGGGACTTCTCTGAGGATTTCGTTGGAAAAGGGATAAATTCCCAGAACTACACAGAAGCATTCTCAGAAACTACTTTGTGATGTTGCATTCAACTCACAGAGTTGAACCTTGCTTTCATAGTTCAGCTTTCAAACACTCTTTTTGTAGAAACTGCAAGTGGATATTTGGACCACTTTGTGGCCTTCCTTCGAAACTGGTATATCTTCACATCAAACCTAGACAGAAGCATTCTCACAATGTTTCCTGTGATTACTGCATTCAACGCACAGAGGTGAACAATCCTGCTGATGGAGCAGTTTTGAATCTCTCTTTCTCTGGAATCTGAAAGTGGATATGTGGACCTATTTGAAGATTTCGTTGGAAACGGTTTCATCTTCAAAGAAAAACTAAACAGTAGCATTCTCAGAAACTGCTTTGTGATGTTTGTGTTCCACTTCAAGAATTGAACTTTCCTCTTGACATAGTAGCTCTGAAACCCTCTTTTTCTAGAGTCTGCAAGTGGACATTTGGAGGGCTTTGAGGCCTGTGGTGGAAAAGGAAAATCTTCACATACAAACTAGATGGAAGCATTCTCAGAAACTACTTTGTGATGATTGCATTCGACTCACAGAGTTGAACATTCCTATAGATAGAGCAGGTTGTAAACAATCTTTTTGTAGAATCTGCGATTGGAGATTTGGACTGCTTTGAGGCCTACTGTAGTAAAGGAAATAACTTCATCTAAAAACCAAACGGAAGCATTCACAGACAATTCTTAGTGATCATTGGATTGAACTAACAGAGCTGAACATTCCTTTAGATGGCGCAGTTTCCAAACACACTTTCTGTAGAATCTGCAAGTGGATATTTGGACTTCTCTGAGGATTTCGTTGGAAACGGGATAAAATTCCCAGAACTACACGGGAAGCATTCTGAGAAACTTCTTTGTGATGTTTGCATTCAACTCACAGAGTTGAACCTTGCTTTCATAGTTCAGCTTTCAAACACTCTTTTTGTAGAATCTGCTAGTGGATATTTGGACCACTTTGTGGCCTTCCTTCGAAACGGGTATATCTTCACATCAAACCTAGACAGAAGCATTCTCAGAATGTTTCCTGTGATGACTGCATTCAACTCACAGAGGTGAACAATCCTGTTGATGGAGCAGTTTTGAAACTCTCTTTCTTTGGATTCTGCAAGTGGATATGTGGACCTCTGTGAAGATTTCATTGGAAACGGGTTCATCTTCACAGAAAAACTAAACAGGAGCATTCTCAGAAACTGCTTTGTGATGTTTGTGTTCCACTTCAAGAATTGAACTTTCCTCTTGACAGAGCAGCTCTGAAACCCTCTTTTTCTAGAATCTGCAAGTGGACATTTGGAGGGCTTTGAGGCCTGTGGTGGAAAAGGAAAATCTTCACATAAAAACTAGATGGAAGCATTCTCAGAAACTACTTTGTGATGATTGCATTCGACTCACAGAGTTGAACATTCCTATAGATAGAGCAGGTTGTAAACAATCTTTTTGTAGAATCTGCGATTGGAGATTTGGACTGCTTTGAGGCCTACTGTAGTAAAGGAAATAACTTCATCTAAAAACCGAACGGAAGCATTCACAGACAATTCTTAGTGATCATTGCATTGAACTAACAGAGCTGAACATTCCTTTAGATGGCGCAGTTTCCAAACACACTTTCTGTAGAATCTGCAAGTGGATATTTGGACTTCTCTGAGGATTTCGTTGGAAACGGGATAAACTTCCCAGAACTACACGGAAGCATTCTGAGAAACTTCTTTGTGATGTTTGCATTCAACTCACAGAGTTGAAACTTGCTTTCATAGTTCAGCTTTCAAACACTCTTTTTGTAGAATCTGCAAGTGGATATTTGGACCACTTTGTGGCCTTCCTTCCAAACGGGTATATCTTCACATCAAACCTAGACAGAAGCATTCTCAGAATGTTTCCTGTGATGACTGCATTCAACTCACAGAGGTGAACAATCCTGCTGATGGAGCAGTTTTGAAACTCTCTTTCTTTGGATTCTGCAAGTGGATATGTGGACCTCTGTGAAGATTTCGTTGGAAACGGGTTCATCTTCACAGAAAAACTAAACAGAAGCATTCTCAGAAACTGCTTTGTGATGTTTGTGTTCCACTTCAGGAATTGAACTTTCCTCTTGACAGAGCAGCTCTGAAACCCTCTTTTTCTAGAATCTGCAAGTGGACATTTGGAGGGCTTTGAGGCCTGTGGTGGTAAAGGAAAATCTTCACATAAAAACTAGATGGAAGCATTCTCAGAAACTACTTTGTGATGATTGCATTCGACTCACAGAGTTGAACATTCCTATAGATAGAGCAGGTTGTAAACAATCTTTTTGTAGAATCTGCGATTGGAGATTTGGACTGCTTTGAGGCCTACTGTAGTAAAGGAAATAACTTCATCTAAAAACCAAACGGAAGCATTCACAGACAATTCTTAGTGATCATTGGATTGAACTAACAGAGCTGAACATTCCTTTAGATGGAGCAGTTTCCAAACACACTTTCTGTAGAATCTGCAAGTGGATATTTGGACTTCTCTGAGGATTTCGTTGGAAACGGCATAAACTTCCCAGAACTACGGGGAAGCATTCTGAGAAACTTCTTTGTGATGTTTGCATTCAACTCACAGAGTTGAACCTTGCTTTCATAGTTCAGCTTTCAAACACTCTTTTTGTAGAATCTGCAAGTGGATATTTGGACCACTTTGTGGCCTTCCTTCGAAACGGGTATATCTTCACATCAAACCTAGACAGAAGCATTCTCAGAATGTTTCCTGTGATGACTGCATTCAACTCACAGAGGTGAACAATCCTGCTGACGGAGCAGTTTTGAAACTCTCTTTCTTTGGATTCTGCAAGTGGATATGTGGACCTCTGTGAAGATTTCGTTGGAAACGGGTTCATCTTCACAGAAAAACTAAACAGAAGCATTCTCAGAAACTGCTTTGTGATGTTTGTGTTCCACTTCAGGAATTGAACTTTCCTCTTGACAGAGCAGCTCTGAAACCCTCTTATTCTAGAATCTGCAAGTGGACATTTGGAGGGCTTTGAGGCCTGTGGTGGAAAAGGAAAATCTTCACATAAAAACTAGATGGAAGCATTCTCAGAAACTACTTTGTGATGATTGCATTCGACTCACAGAGTTGAACATTCCTATAGATAGAGCAGGTTGTAAACAATCTTTTTGTAGAATCTGCGATTGGAGATTTGGACTGCTTTGAGGCCTACTGTAGTAAAGGAAATAACTTCATCTAAAAACCAAACGGAAGCATTCACAGACAATTCTTAGTGATCATTGCATTGAACTAACAGAGCTGAACATTCCTTTATATGGCGCAGTTTCCAAACCCACTTTCTGTAGAATCTGCAAGTGGATATTTGGACCTCTCCTGAGGATATCTTTGGAAACGGGATAAACTTCCCAGAACTACACGGAAGCATTGTGAGAAACTTCTTTGTGATGTTTGCATTCAACTCACAGAGTTGAACCTTGCTTTCATAGTTCAGCTTTCAAACACTCTTTTTGTAGAATCTGCAAGTGGATATTTGGACCACTTTGTGGCCTTCCTTCGAAACGGGTATATCTTCACATCAAACCTAGACAGAAGCATTCTCAGAATGTTTCCTGTGATGACTGCATTCAACTCACAGAGGTGAACAATCCTGTTGATGGAGCAGTTTTGAAACTCTCTTTCTTTGGATTCTGCAAGTTGATATGTGGACCTCTGTGAAGATTTCGTTGGAAACGGGTTCATCTTCACAGAAAAACTAAACAGAAGTATTCTCAGAAACTGCTTTGTGATATTTGTGTTCCACTTCAAGAATTGAACTTTCCTCTTGACAGAGCAGCTCTGAAACCCTCTTTTTCTAGAATCTGCAAGTGGACATTTGGAGGGCTTTGAAGCCTGTGGTGGAAAAGGAAAATCTTCACATAAAAACTAGATGGAAGCATTCTCAGAAACTACTTTGTGATGATTGCATTCGACTCACAGAGTTGAACATTCCTATAGATAGAGCAGGTTGTAAACAATCTTTTTGTAGAATCTGCGATTGGAGATTTGGACTGCTTTGAGGCCTACTGTAGTAAAGGAAATAACTTCATCTAAAAACCAAACGGAAGCATTCACAGACAATTCTTAGTGATCATTGGATTGAACTAACAGAGCTGAACATTCCTTTAGATGGAGCAGTTTCCAAACACACTTTCTGTAGAATCTGCAAGTGGATATTTGGACTTCTCTGAGGATTTCGTTGGAAACGGGATAAACTTCCCAGAACTTCACGGAAGCATTCTGAGAAACTTCTTTGTGATGTTTGCATTCAACTCACAGAGTTGAACCTTGCTTTCTTAGTTCAGCTTTCAAACACTCTTTTTGTAGAATCTGCAAGTGGATATTTGGACCACTTTGTGGCCTTCCTTCGAAACGGGTATATCTTCACATCAAACCTAGACAGAAGCATTCTCAGAATGTTTCCTGTGATGACTGCATTCAACTCACAGAGGTGAACAATCCTGTTGATGGAGCAGTTTTGAAACTCTCTTTCTTTGGATTCTGCAAGTGGATATGTGGACCTCTGTGAAGATTTCGTTGGAAACGGGTTCATCTTCACAGAAAAACTAAACAGAAGCATTCTCAGAAACTGCTTTGTGATGTTTGTGTTCCACTTCAGGAATTGAACTTTCCTCTTGACAGAGCAGCTCTGAAATCCTCTTATTCTAGAATCTGCAAGTGGACATTTGGAGGGCTTTGAGGCCTGTGGTGGAAAAGGAAAATCTTCACATAAAAACTAGATGGAAGCATTCTCAGAAACTACTTTGTGATGATTGCATTCGACTCACAGAGTTGAACATTCCTAAAGATAGAGCAGGTTGTAAACAATCTTTTTGTAGAATCTGCGATTGGAGATTTGGACTGCTTTGAGGCCTACTGTAGTAAAGGAAATAACTTCATCTAAAAACCAAACGGAAGCATTCACAGACAATTCTTAGTGATCATTGGATTGAACTAACAGAGCTGAACATTCCTTTAGATGGAGCAGTTTCCAAACACACTTTCTGTAGAATCTGCAAGTGGATATTTGGACTTCTCTGAGGATTTCGTTGGAAACGGGATAAACTTCCCAGAACTACACGGAAGCATTGTGAGAAACTTCTTTGTGATGTTTGCATTCAACTCACAGAGTTGAACCTTGCTTTCATAGTTCAGCTTTCAAACACTCCTTTTGTAGAATCTGCAAGTGGATATTTGGACCACTTTGTGGCCTTCCTTCGAAACGGGTATATCTTCACATCAAACCTAGACAGAAGCATTCTCAGAATGTTTCCTGTGATGACTGCATTCAACTCACAGAGGTGAACAATGCTGCTGATGGAGCAGTTTTGAAACTCTCTTTCTTTGGATTCTGCAAGTGGATATGTGGACCTCTGTGAAGATTTCGTTGGAAACGGGTTCATCTTCACAGAAAAACTAAACAGAAGCATTCTCAGAAACTGCTTTGTGATGTTTGTGTTCCACTTCAGGAATTGAACTTTCCTCTTGACAGAGCAGCTCTGAAATCCTCTTATTCTAGAATCTGCAAGTGGACATTTGGAGGGCTTTGAGGCCTGTGGTGGAAAAGGAAAATCTTCACATAAAAACTAGATGGAAGCATTCTCAGAAACTACTTTGTGATGATTGCATTCGACTCACAGAGTTGAACATTCCTATAGATAGAGCAGGTTGTAAACAATCTTTTTGTAGAATCTGCGATTGGAGATTTGGACTGCTTTGAGGCCTACTGTAGTAAAGGAAATAACTTCATCTAAAAACCAAACGGAAGCATTCACAGACAATTCTTAGTGATCATTGCATTGAACTAACAGAGCTGAACATTCCTTTAGATGGAGCAGTTTCCAAACACACTTTCTGTAGAATCTGCAAGTGGATATTTGGACTTCTCTGAGGATTTCGTTGGAAACGGGATAAACTTCCCAGAACTACACGGAAGCATTCTGAGAAACTTCTTTGTGATGTTTGCATTCAACTCACAGAGTTGAACCTTGCTTTCATAGTTCAGCTTTCAAACACTCTTTTTGTAGAATCTACAGAAAGTGGATATTTGGACCACTTTGTGGCCTTCCTTCGAAACGGGTATATCTTCACATCAAACCTAGACAGAAGCATTCTCAGAATGTTTCCTGTGATGACTGCATTCAACTCACAGAGGTGAACAATCCTGCTGATGGAGCAGTTTTGAAACTCTCTTTCTTTGGATTCTGCAAGTGGATATGTGGACCTCTGTGAAGATTTCGTTGGAAACGGGTTCATCTTCACATAAAAACTAAACAGGAGCATTCTCAGAAACTGCTTTGTGATGTTTGTGTTCCACTTCAGGAATTGAACTTTCCTCTTGATAGAGCAGCCCTGAAACCCTCTTTTTCTAGAATCTGCAAGTGGACATTTGGAGGGCTTTGAGGCCTGTGGTGGAAAAGGAAAATCTTCACATAAAAACTAGATGGAAGCATTCTCAGAAACTACTTTGTGATGATTGCATTCGACTCACAGAGTTGAACATTCCTATAGATAGAGCAGGTTGTAAACAATCTTTTTGTAGAATCTGCGATTGGAGATTTGGACTGCTTTGAGGCCTACTGTAGTAAAGGAAATAACTTCATCTAAAAACCAAACGGAAGCATTCACAGACAATTCTTAGTGATCATTGCATTGAACTAACAGAGCTGAACATTCCTTTAGATGGCGCAGTTTCCAAACCCACTTTCTGTAGAATCTGCAAGTGGATATTTGGACCTCTCTGAGGATTTCGTTGGAAACGGGATAAACTTCCCAGAACTACACGGAAGCATTCTGAGAAACTTCTTTGTGATGTTTGCATTCAACTCACAGAGTTGAACCTTGCTTTCATAGTTCAGCTTTCAAACACTCTTTTTGTAGAATCTGCAAGTGGATATTTGGACCACTTTGTGGCCTTCCTTCGAAACGGGTATATCTTCACATCAAACCTAGACAGAAGCATTCTCAGAATGTTTCCTGTGATGACTGCATTCAACTCACAGAGGTGAACAATCCTGCTGATGGAGCAGTTTTGAAACTCTCTTTCTTTGGATTCTGCAAGTGGATATGTGGACCTCTGTGAAGATTTCGTTGGAAACGGGTTCATCTTCACAGAAAAACTAAACAGAAGCATTCTCAGAAACTGCTTTGTGATGTTTGTGTTCCACTTCAAGAATTGAACTTTCCTCTTGACAGAGCAGCTCTGAAACCCTCTTTTTCTAGAATCTGCAAGTGGACATTTGGAGGGCTTTGAGGCCTGTGGTGGAAAAGGAAAATCTTCACATAAAAACTAGATGGAAGCATTCTCAGAAACTACTTTGTGATGATTGCATTCGACTCACAGAGTTGAACATTCCTATAGATAGAGCAGGTTGTAAACAATGTTTTTGTAGAATCTGCGATTGGAGATTTGGACTGCTTTGAGGCCTACTGTAGTAAAGGAAATAACTTCATCTAAAAACCAAACGGAAGCATTCACAGACAATTCTTAGTGATCATTGGATTGAACTAACAGAGCTGAACATTCCTTTCGATGGCACAGTTTCCAAACACACTTTCTGTAGAATCTGCAACAGGATATTTGGACCTCTCTGAGGATTTCGTTGGAAATGGGATAAACTTCCCAGAACTACACGGAAGCATTCTGAGAAACTTCTTTGTGATGTTTGCATTCAACTCACAGAGTTGAACCTTGCTTTCATAGTTCAGCTTTCAAACACTCTTTTTGTAGAAGCTGCAAGTGGATATTTGGACCACTTTGTCGCCTTCCTTCGAAACGGGTATATCTTCACATCAAACCTAGACAGAAGCATTCTCAGAATGTTTCCTGTGATGACTGCATTCAACTCACAGAGGTGAACAATCCTGCTGATGGAGCAGTTTTGAAACTCTCTTTCTTTGGATTCTGCAAGTGGATATGTGGACCTCTGTGAAGATTTCGTTGGAAACGGGTTCATCTTCACAGAAAAACTAAACAGGAGCATTCTCAGAAACTGCTTTGTGATGTTTGTGTTCCACTTCAAGAATTGAACTTTCCTCTTGACAGAGCAGCTCTGAAACCCTCTTTTTCTAGAATCTGCAAGTGGACATTTGGAGGGCTTTGAGGCCTGTGGTGGAAAAGGAAAATCTTCACATAAAACTAGATGGAAGCATTCTCAGAAACTACTTTGTGATGATTGCATTCGACTCACAGAGTTGAACATTCCTATAGATAGAGCAGGATGTAAACAAACTTTTTGTAGAATCTGCGATTGGAGATTTGGACTGCTTTGAGGCCTACTGTAGTAAAGGAAATAACTTCATCTAAAAACCAAACGGAAGCATTCACAGACAATTCTTAGTGATCATTGGATTGAACTAACAGAGCTGAACATTCCTTTAGATGGAGCAGTTTCCAAACACACTTTCTGTAGAATCTGCAAGTGGATATTTGGACCTCTCTGAGGATTTCGTTGGAAACGGGATAAACTTCCCAGAACTACACGGAAGCATTCTGAGAAACTTCTTTGAGATGTTTGCATTCAACTCAGAGAGTTGAACCTTGCTTTCATAGTTCAGCTTTCAAACACTCTTTTTGTAGAATCTGCAAGTGGATATTTGGACCACTTTGGGGCCTTCCTTCGAAACGGGTATATCTTCACATCAAACCTAGACAGAAGCATTCTCAGAATGTTTCCTGTGATGACTGCATTCAACTCACAGAGGTGAACAATCCTGCTGATGGAGCAGTTTTGAAACTCTCTTTCTTTGGATTCTGCAAGTGGATATGTGGACCTCTGTGAAGATTTCGTTGGAAACGGGTTCATCTTCACAGAAAAACTAAACAGGAGCATTCTCAGAAACTGCTTTGTGATGTTTGTGTTCCACTTCAAGAATTGAACTTTCCTCTTGACAGAGCAGCTCTGAAACCCTCTTTTTCTAGAATCTGCAAGTGGACATTTGGAGGGCTTTGAGGCCTGTGGTGGAAAAGGAAAATCTTCACATAAAAACTAGATGGAAGCATTCTCAGAAACTACTTTGTGATGATTGCATTCGACTCACAGAGTTGAACATTCCTATAGATAGAGCAGGTTGTAAACAATCTTTTTGTAGAATCTGCGATTGGAGATTTGGACTGCTTTGAGGCCTACTGTAGAAAAGGAAATAACTTCATCTAAAAACCAAACGGAAGCATTCACAGACAATTCTTAGTGATCATTGCATTGAACTAACAGAGCTGAACATTCCTTTAGATGGCGCAGTTTCCAAACACACTTTCTGTAGAATCTGCAAGTGGATATTTGGACCTCTCTGAGGATTTCGTTGGAAACGGGATAAACTTCCCAGAACTACACGGAAGCATTCTGAGAAACTTCTTTGTGATGTTTGCATTCAACTCAAAGAGTTGAACCTTGCTTTCATAGTTCAGCTTTCAAACACTCTTTTTGTAGAATCTGCAAGTGTATATTTGGACCACTTTGTGGCCTTCCTTCGAAACGGGTATATCTTCACATCAAACCTAGACAGAAGCATTCTCAGAATGTTTCCTGTGATGACTGCATTCAACTCACAGAGGTGAACAATCCTGCTGATGGAGCAGTTTTGAAACTCTCTTTCTTTGGATTCTGCAAGTGGATATGTGGACCTCTGTGAAGATTTCGTTGGAAACGGGTTCATCTTCACAGAAAAACTAAACAGGAGCATTCTCAGAAACTGCTTTGTGATGTTTGTGTTCCACTTCAAGAATTGAACTTTCCTCTTGACAGAGCAGCTCTGAAACCCTCTTTTTCTAGAATCTGCAAGTGGACATTTGGAGGGCTTTGAGGCCTGTGGTGGAAAAGGAAAATCTTCCCATAAAAACTAGATGGAAGCATTCTCAGAAACTACTTTGTGATGATGGCTTTCGACTCACAGAGTTGAACATTCCTATAGATAGAGCAGGTTGTAAACAATCTTTTTGTAGAATCTGCGATTGGAGATTTGGACTGCTTTGAGGCCTACTGTAGTAAAGGAAATAACTTCATCTAAAAACCAAACGGAAGCATTCACAGACAATTCTTAGTGATCATTGCATTGAACTAACAGAGCTGAACATTCCTTTAGATGGAGCAGTTTCCAAACACACTTTCTGTAGAATCTGCAAGTGGATATTTGGACTTCTCTGAGGATTTCGTTGGAAACGGGATAAACTTCCCAGAACTACACGGAAGCATGCTGAGAAACTTCTTTGTGATGTTTGCATTCAACTCACAGAGTTGAACCTTGCTTTCATAGTTCAGCTTTCAAACACTCTTTTTGTAGAATCTGCAAGTGGATATTTGGACCACTTTGTGGCCTTCCTTCGAAACGGGTATATCTTCACATCAAACCTAGACAGAAGCATTCTCAGAATGTTTCCTGTGATGACTGCATTCAACTCACAGAGGTGAACAATCCTGTTGATGGAGCACTTTTGAAACTCTCTTTCTTTGGATTCTGCAAGTTGATATGTGGACCTCTGTGAAGATTTCGTTGGAAACGGGTTCATCTTCACAGAAAAACTAAACAGGAGCATTCTCAGAAACTGCTTTGTGATGTTTGTGTTCCACTTCAGGAATTGAACTTTCCTCTTGACAGAGCAGCTCTGAAACCCTCTTATTCTAGAATCTGCAAGTGGACATTTGGAGGGCTTTGAGGCCTGTGGTGGAAAAGGAAAATCTTCACATAAAAACTAGATGGAAGCATTCTCAGAAACTACTTTTTGATGATTGCATTCGACTCACAGAGTTGAACATTCCTATAGATAGAGCAGGTTGTAAACAATCTTTTTGTAGAATCTGCGATTGGAGATTTCGACTGCTTTGAGGCCTACTGTAGTAAAGGAAATAACTTCATCTAAAAACCAAACGGAAGCATTCACAGACAATTCTTAGTGATCATTGCATTGAACTAACAGAGCTGAACATTCCTTTAGATGGCGCAGTTTCCAAACACACTTTCTGTAGAATCTGCAAGTGCATATTTGGACTTCTCTGAGGATTTCGTTGGAAAAGGATAAACTTCCCAGAACTACACGGAAGCATTGTGAGAAACTTCTTTGTGATGTTTGCATTCAACTCACAGAGTTGAACCTTGCTTTCATAGTTCAGCTTTCAAACACTCTTTTTGTAGAATCTGCAAGTGGATATTTGGACCACTTTGTGGCCTTCCTTCGAAACGGGTATATCTTCACATCAAACCTAGACAGAAGCATTCTCAGAATGTTTCCTGTGATGACTGCATTCAAGTCACAGAGGTGAACAATCCTGCTGTTGGAGCAGTTTTGAAACTCTCTTTCTTTGGATTCTGCAAGTGGATATGTGGACCTCTGTGAAGATTTCGTTGGAAATGGGTTCATCTTCACAGAAAAACTAAACAGGAGCATTCTCGGAAACTGCTTTGTGATGTTTGTGTTCCACTTCAGGAATTGAACTTTCCTCTTGACAGAGCAGCTCTGAAACCCTCTTATTCTAGAATCTGCAAGTGGACATTTGGAGGGCTTTGAGGCCTGTGGTGGAAAAGGAAAATCTTCACATAAAAACTAGATGGAAGCATTCTCAGAAACTACTTTGTGATGATTGCATTCGACTCACAGAGTTGAACATTCCTATAGATAGAGCAGGTTGTAAACAATCTTTTTGTAGAATCTGCGATTGGAGATTTGGACTGCTTTGAGGCCTACTGTAGTAAAGGAAATAACTTCATCTAAAAACCAAACGGAAGCATTCACAGACAATACTTAGTGATCATTGGTTTGAACTAACAGAGCTGAACATTCCTTTAGATGAAGCAGTTTCCAAACCCACTTTCTGTAGAATCTGCAAGTGGATATTTGGACTTCTCTGAGGATTTCGTTGGAAACGGGATAAACTTCCCAGAACTACACGGAAGCATTGTGAGAAACTTCTTTGTGATGTTTGCATTCAACTCACAGAGTTGAACCTTGCTTTCATAGTTCAGCTTTCAAACACTCTTTTTGTAGAATCTGCAAGTGGATATTTGGACCACTTTGTGGCCTTCCTTCGAAACGGGTATATCTTCACATCAAACCTAGACAGAAGCATTCTCAGAATGTTTCCTGTGATGACTGCATTCAACTCACAGAGGTGAACAATCCTGCTGTTGGAGCAGTTTTGAAACTCTCTTTCTTTGGATTCTGCAAGTGGATATGTGGACCTGTGTGAAGATTTCGTTGGAAACGAGTTCATCTTCACAGAAAAACTAAACAGGAGCATTCTCAGAAACTGCTTTGTGATGTTTGTGTTCCACTTCAAGAATTGAACTTTCCTCTTGACAGAGCAGCTCTGAAACCCTCTTTTTCTAGAATCTGCAAGTGGACATTTGGAGGGCTTTGAGGCCTGTGGTGGAAAAGGAAAATCTTCACATAAAAACTAGATGGAAGCATTCTCAGAAACTACTTTGTGATGATTGCATTCGACTCACAGAGTTGAACATTCCTATAGATAGAGCAGGTTGTAAACAATCTTTTTGTACAATCTGCGATTGGAGATTTGGACTGCTTTGAGGCCTACTGTAGAAAAGGAAATAACTTCATCTAAAAACGAAACGGAAGCATTCACAGACAATTCTTAGTGATCATTGCATTGAACTAACAGAGCTGAACATTCCTTTAGATGGCGCAGTTTCCAAACACACTTTCTGTAGAATCTGCAAGTGGATATTTGGACCTCTCTGAGGATTTCGTTGGAAACGGGATAAACTTCCCAGAACTACACGGAAGCATTGTGAGAAACTTCTTTGTGATGTTTGCATTCAACTCACAGAGTTGAACCTTGCTTTCATAGTTCAGCTTTCAAACACTCTTTTTGTAGAATCTGCAAGTGGATATTTGGAACACTTTGTGGCCTTCCTTCGAAACGGGTATATCTTCACATCAAACCTAGACAGAAGCATTCTCAGAATGTTTCCTGTGATGACTGCATTCAACTCACAGAGGTGAACAATCCTGCTGATGGAGCAGTTTTGAAACTCTCTTTCTTTGGATTCTGCAAGTGGATATGTGGACCTCTGTGAAGATTTCGTTGGAAACGGGTTCATCTTCACAGAAAAACTAAACAGGAGCATTCTCAGAAACTGCTTTGTGATGTTTGTGTTCCACTTCAAGAATTGAACTTTCCTCTTGACAGAGCAGCTCTGAAACCCTCTTTTTCTAGAATCTGCAAGTGGACATTTGGAGGGCTTTGAGGCCTGTGGTGGAAAAGGAAAATCTTCACATAAAAACTAGATGGAAGCATTCTCAGAAACTACTTTGTGATGATTGCATTCGACTCACAGAGTTGAACATTCCTATAGATAGAGCAGGTTGTAAACAATCTTTTTGTAGAATCTGCGATTGGAGATTTGGACTGCTTTGAGGCCTACTGTAGTAAAGGAAATAACTTCATCTAAAAACCAAACGGAAGCATTCACAGACAATTCTTAGTGATCATTGCATTGATCTAACAGAGCTGAACATTCCTTTAGATGGCGTAGTTTCCAAACACACTTTCTGTAGAATCTGCAAGTGGATATTTGGACCTCTCTGAGGATTTCGTTGCAAACGGGATAAACTTCTCAGAACTACACGGAAGCATTCTGAGAAACTTCTTTGTGATGTTTGCATTCAACTCACAGAGTTGAACCTTGCTTTCATAGTTCAGCTTTCAAACACTCTTTTTGTAGAATCTGCAAGTGGATATTTGGACCACTTTGTGGCCTTCCTTCGAAACGGGTATATCTTCACATCAAACCTAGACAGAAGCATTCTCAGAATGTTTCCTGTGATGACTGCATTCAACTCACAGAGGTGAACAATCCTGCTGATGGAGCAGTTTTGAAACTCTCTTTCTTTGGATTCTGCAAGTGGATATGTGGACCTCTGTGAAGATTTCGTTGGAAACGGGTTCATCTTCACAGAAAAACTAAACAGAAGCATTCTCAGAAACTGCTTTGTGATGTTTGTGTTCCACTTCAGGAATTGAACTTTCCTCTTGACAGAGCAGCTCTGAAACCCTCTTATTCTAGAATCTGCAAGTGGACATTTGGAGGGCTTTGAGGCCTGTGGTGGAAAAGGAAAATCTTCACATAAAAACTAGATGGAAGCATTCTCAGAAACTACTTTGTGATGATTGCATTCGACTCACAGAGTTGAACATTCCTATAGATAGAGCAGGTTGTAAACAATCTTTTTGTAGAATCTGCGATTGGAGATTTGGACTGCTTTGAGGCCTACTGTAGTAAAGGAAATAACTTCATCTAAAAACCAAACGGAAGCATTCACAGACAATTCTTAGTGATCATTGGATTGAACTAACAGAGCTGAACATTCCTTTAGATGGAGCAGTTTCCAAACACACTTTCTGTAGAATCTGCAAGTGGATATTTGGACTTCTCTGAGGATTTCGTTGGAAACGGGATAAACTTCCCAGAACTACACGGAAGCATTCTGAGAAACTTCTTTGTGATGTTTGCATTCAACTCACAGAGTTGAACCTTGCTTTCATAGTTCAGCTTTCAAACACTCTTTTTGTAGAATCTGCAAGTGGATATTTGGACCACTTTGTGGCCTTCCTTCGAAACGGGTATATCTTCACATCAAACCTAGACAGAAGCATTCTCAGAATGTTTCCTGTGATGACTGCATTCAACTCACAGAGGTGAACAATCCTGCTGATGGAGCAGTTTTGAAACTCTCTTTCTTTGGATTCTGCAAGTGGATATGTGGACCTCTGTGAAGATTTCGTTGGAAACGGGTTCATCTTCACAGAAAAACTAAACAGAAGCATTCTCAGAAACTGCTTTGTGATGTTTGTGTTCCACTTCAGGAATTGAACTTTCCTCTTGACAGAGCAGCTCTGAAATCCTCTTATTCTAGAATCTGCAAGTGGACATTTGGAGGGCTTTGAGGCCTGTGGTGGAAAAGGAAAATCTTCACATAAAAACTAGATGGAAGCATTCTCAGAAACTACTTTGTGATGATTGCATTCGACTCACAGAGTTGAACATTCCTATAGATAGAGCAGGTTGTAAACAATCTTTTTGTAGAATCTGCGATTGGAGATTTGGACTGCTTTGAGGCCTACTGTAGTAAAGGAAATAACTTCATCTAAAAACCAAATGGAAGCATTCACATACAATTCTTAGTGATCATTGCATTGAACTAACAGAGCTGAACATTCCTTTAGATGGCGCAGTTTCCAAACACACTTTCTGTAGAATCTGCAAGTGGATATTTGGACCTCTCTGAGGATTTCGTTGGAAACGGGATAAACTTCCCAGAACTACACGGAAGCATTCTGAGAAACTTCTTTGTCATGTTTGCATTCAACTCACAGAGTTGAACCTTGCTTTCATAGTTCAGCTTTCAAACACTCTTTTTGTAGAATCTGCAAGTGGATATTTGGACCACTTTGTGGCCTTCCTTCGAAACGGGTATATGTTCACATCAAACCTAGACAGAAGCATTCTCAGAATGTTTCCTGTGATGACTGCATTCAACTCACAGAGGTGAACAATCCTGCTGATGGAGCAGTTTTGAAACTCTCTTTCTTTGGATTCTGCAAGTGGATATGTGGACCTCTGTGAAGATTTCGTTGGAAACGGGTTCATCTTCACAGAAAAATTAACAGGAGCATTCCCAGAAACTGCTTTGTGATGTTTCTGTTCCACTTCAAGAATTGAACTTTCCTCTTGACAGAGCAGCTCTGAAACCCTCTTTTTCTAGAATCTGCAAGTGGACATTTGGAGGGCTTTGAGGCCTGTGGTGGAAAAGGAAAATCTTCACATAAAAACTAGATGGAAGCATTCTCAGAAACTACTTTGTGATGATTGCATTCGACTCACATAGTTGAACATTCCTATAGATAGAGCAGGTTGTAAACAATCTTTTTGTAGAATCTGTGATTGGAGATTTGGACTGCTTTGAGGCCTACTGTAGTAAAGGAAATAACTTCATCTAAAAACCAAACGGAAGCATTCACAGACAATTCTTAGTGATCATTGGATTGAACTAACAGAGCTGAACATTCCTTGAGATGGAGCAGTTTCCAAACACACTTTCTGTAGAATCTGCAAGTGGATATTTGGACTTCTCTGAGGATTTCGTTGGAAACGGGATAAACTTCCCAGAACTACACGGAAGCATTGTGAGAATCATCTTTCTGATGTTTGCATTCAACACACAGAGTTGAACCTTGCTTTCATAGTTCAGCTTTCAAACACTCTTTTTGTAGAATCTGCAAGTGGATATTTGGACCACTTTGTGGCCTTCCTTCGAAACGGGTATATCTTCACATCAAACCTAGACAGAAGCATTCTCAGAATGTTTCCTGTGATGACTGCATTCAACTCACAGAGGTGAACAATCCTGCTGATGGAGCAGTTTTGAAACTCTCTTTCTTTGGATTCTGCAAGTGGATATGTGGACCTCTGTGAAGATTTCGTTGGAAACGGGTTCATCTTCACAGAAAAACTAAACAGGAGCATTCTCAGAAACTGCTTTGTGATGTTTGTGTTCCACTTCAAGAATTGAACTTTCCTCTTGACAGAGCAGCTCTGAAACCCTCTTTTTCTAGAATCTGCAAGTGGACATTTGGAGGGCTTTGAGGCCTGTGGTGCAAAAGGAAAATCTTCACATAAAAACTAGATGGAAGCATTCTCAGAAACTACTTTGTGATGATTGCATTCGACTCACAGAGTTGAACATTCCTATAGATAGAGCAGGTTGTAAACAATCTTTTTGTAGAATCTGCGATTGGAGATTTGGACTGCTTTGAGGCCTACTGTAGTAAAGGAAATAACTTCATCTAAAAACCAAACGGAAGCATTCACAGACAATTCTTAGTGATCATTGCATTGATCTAACAGAGCTGAACATTCCTTTAGATGGCGTAGTTTCCAAACACACTTTCTGTAGAATCTGCAAGTGGATATTTGGACCTCTCTGAGGATTTCGTTGGAAACGGGATAAACTTCCCAGAACTACACGGAAGCATTCTGAGAAACTTCTTTGTGATGTTTGCATTCAACTCACAGAGTTGAACCTTGCTTTCATAGTTCAGCTTTCAAACACTCTTTTTGTAGAATCTGCAAGTGGATATTTGGACCACTTTGTGGCCTTCCTTCGAAACGGGTATATCTTCACATCAAACCTAGACAGAAGCATTCTCAGAATGTTTCCTGTGATGACTGCATTCAACTCACAGAGGTGAACAATCCTGTTGATGGAGCAGTTTTGAAACTCTCTTTCTTTGGATTCTGCAAGTGGATATGTGGACCTCTGTGAAGATTTCGTTGGAAACGGGTTCATCTTCACAGAAAAACTAAACAGAAGCATTCTCAGAAACTGCTTTGTGATGTTTGTGTTCCACTTCAAGAATTGAACTTTCCTCTTGACAGAGCAGCTCTGAAACCCTCTTTTTCTAGAATCTGCAAGTGGACATTTGGAGGGCTTTGAGGCCTGTGGTGGAAAAGGAAAATCTTCACATAAAAACTAGATGGAAGCATTCTCAGAAACTACTTTGTGATGATTGCATTCGACTCACAGAGTTGAACATTCCTATAGATAGAGCAGGTTGTAAACAATCTTTTTGTAGAATCTGCGATTGGAGATTTGGACTGCTTTGAGGCCTACTGTAGTAAAGGAAATAACTTCATCTAAAAACCAAACGGAAGCATTCACAGACAATTCTTAGTGATCATTGGATTGAACTAACAGAGCTGAACATTCCTTTAGATGGCACAGTTTCCAAACACACTTTCTGTAGAATCTGCAAGTGGATATTTGGACCTCTCTGAGGATTTCGTTGGAAACGGGATAAGCTTCCCAGAACTACACGGAAGCATTCTGAGAAACTTCTTTGTGATGTTTGCATTCAACTCACAGAGTTGAACCTTGCTTTCATAGTTCAGCTTTCAAACACTCTTTTTGTAGAATCTGCAAGTGGATATTTGGACCACTTTGTGGCCTTCCTTCGAAACGGGTATATCTTCACATCAAACCTAGACAGAAGCATTCTCAGAATGTTTCCTGTGATGACTGCATTCAACTCACAGAGGTGAACAATCCTGCTGATGGAGCAGTTTTGAAACTCTCTTTCTTTGGATTCTGCAAGTGGATATGTGGACCTCTGTGAAGATTTCGTTGGAAAAGGGTTCATCTTCACAGAAAAACTAAACAGGAGCATTCTCAGAAACTGCTTTGTGATGTTTGTGTTCCACTTCAGGAATTGAACTTTCCTCTTGACAGAGCAGCTCTGAAACCCTCTTTTTCTAGAATCTGCAAGTGGACATTTGGAGGGCTTTGAGGCCTGTGGTGGAAAAGGAAAATCTTCACATAAAAACTAGATGGAAGCATTCTCAGAAACTACTTTGTGATGATTGCATTCGACTCACAGAGTTGAACATTCCTATAGATAGAGCAGGTTGTAAACAATCTTTTTGTAGAATCTGCGATTGGAGATTTGGACTGCTTTGAGGCCTACTGTAGTAAAGGAAATAACTTCATCTAAAAACCAAACGGAGGCATTCACAGAAAATTCTTAGTGATCATTGGATTGAACTAACAGAGCTGAACATTCCTTTAGATGGAGCAGTTTCCAAACACACTTTCTGTAGAATCTGCAAGTGGATATTTGGACCTCTCTGAGGATTTCGTTGGAAACGGGCTAAACTTCCCAGAACTACACGGAAGCATTCTGAGAAACTTCTTTGTGATGTTTGCATTCAACTCACAGAGTTGAACCTTGCTTTCATAGTTCAGCTTTCAAACACTCTTTTTGTAGAATCTGCAAGTGGATATTTGAACCACTTTGTGGCCTTCCTTCGAAACGGGTATATCTTCACATCAAACCTAGACAGAAGCATTCTCAGAATGTTTCCTGTGATGACTGCATTCAACTCACAGAGGTGAGCAATCCGGCTGATGGAGCAGTTTTGAAACTCTCTTTCTTTGGATTCTGCAGCTGGATATGTGGACCTCTGTGAAGATTTCGTTGGAAACGGGTTCATCTTCACAGAAAAACTAAACAGAAGCATTCTCAGAAACTGCTTTGTGATGTTTGTGTTCCACTTCAGGAATTGAACTTTCCTCTTGACAGAGCAGCTATGAAACCCTCTTTTTCTAGAATCTGCAAGTGGACATTTGGAGGGCTTTGAGGCCTGTGGTGGAAAAGGAAAATCTTCACATAAAAACTAGATGGAAGCATTCTCAGAAACTACTTTGTGATGATTGCATTCGACTCACAGAGTTGAACATTCCTATAGATAGAGCAGGTTGTAAACAATCTTTTTGTAGAATCTGCGATTGGAGATTTGGACTGCTTTGAGGCCTACTGTAGAAAAGGAAATAACTTCATTTGAAAACCAAACGGAAGCATTCAGAGACAATTCTTAGTGATCATTGGATTGAACTAACAGAGCTGAACATTCCTTTAGATGGCGCAGTTTCCAAACACACTTTCTGTAGAATCTGCAAGTGGATATTTGGACCTCTCTGAGGATTTCGTTGGAAACGGGATAAACTTCCCAGAACTACACGGAAGCATGCTGAGAAACTTCTTTGTGATGTTTGCATTCAACTCACAGAGTTGAACCTTGCTTTCATAGTTCAGCTTTCAAACACTCTTTTTGTAGAATCTGCAAGTGGATGTTTGGACCACTTTGTGGCCTTCCTTCGAAACGGGTATATCTTCACATCAAACCTAGACAGAAGCATTCTCAGAATGTTTCCTGTGATGACTGCATTCAACTCACAGAGGTGAACAATCCTGCTGATGGAGCAGTTTTGAAACTCTCTTTCTTTGGATTCTGCAAGTGGATATGTGGACCTCTGTGAAGATTTCGTTGGAAACGGGTTCATCTTCACAGAAAAACTAAAAAGAAACATTCTCAGAAACTGCTTTGTGATGTTTGTGTTCCACTTCAGGAATTGAACTTTCCTCTTGACAGAGCAGCTCTGAAACCCTCTTATTCTAGAATCTGCAAGTGGACATTTGGAGGGCTTTGAGGCCTGTGGTGGAAAAGGAAAATCTTCACATAAAAACTAGATGGAAGCATTCTCAGAAACTACTTTGTGATGATTGCATTCGACTCACAGAGTTGAACATTCCTATAGATAGAGGAGGTTGTAAACAATCTTTTTGTAGAATCTGCGATTGGAGATTTGGACTGCTTTGAGGCCTACTGTAGTAAAGGAAATAACTTCATCTAAAAACCAAACGGAAGCATTCACAGACAATTCTTAGTGATCATTGGATTGAACTAACAGAGCTGAACATTCCTTTAGATGGAGCAGTTTCCAAAGACACTTTCTGTAGAATCTGCAAGTGGATATTTGGACTTCTCTGAGGATTTCGTTGGAAACGGGATAAACTTCCCAGAACTACACGGAAGCATTGTGAGAAACTTCTTTGTGATGTTTGCATTCAACTCACAGAGTTGAACCTTGCTTTCATAGTTCAGCTTTCAAACACTCTTTTTGTAGAATCTGCAAGTGGATATTTGGACCACTTTGTGGCCTTCCTTCGAAACGGGTATATCTTCACATCAAACCTAGACAGAAGCATTCTCAGAATGTTTCCTGTGATGACTGCATTCAACTCACAGAGGTGAACAATCCTGCTGTTGGAGCAGTTTTGAAACTCTCTTTCTTTGGATTCTGCAAGTGGATATGTGGACCTCTGTGAAGATTTCATTGGAAACGGGTTCATCTTCACAGAAAAGCTAAACAGGAGCATTCTCAGAAACTGCTTTGTGATGTTTGTGTTCCACTTCAAGAATTGAACTTTCCTCTTGACAGAGCAGCTCTGAAACCCTCTTTTTCTAGAATCTGCAAGTGGACATTTGGAGGGCTTTGAGGCCTGTGGTGGAAAAGGAAAATCTTCACATAAAAACTAGATGGAAGCATTCTCAGAAACTACTTTGTGATGATTGCATTCGACTCACAGAGTTGAACATTCCTATAGATAGAGCAGGTTGTAAACAATCTTTTTGTAGAATCTGCGATTGGAGATTTGGACTGCTTTGAGGCCTACTGTAGTAAAGGAAATAACTTCATCTAAAAACCAAACGGAAGCATTCACAGACAATTCTTAGTGATCATTGCATTGAACTAACAGAGCTGAACATTCCTTTAGATGGCGCAGTTTCCAAACACACTTTCTGTAGAATCTGCAAGTGGATATTTGGACTTCTCTGAGGATTTCGTTGGAAACGGGATAAACTTCCCAGAACTACACGGAAGCATTCTGAGAAACTTCTTTGTGATGTTTGCATTCAACTCACAGAGTTGAACCTTGCTTTCATAGTTCAGCTTTCAAACACTCTTTTTGTAGAATCTGCAAGTGGATATTTGGACCACTTTGTGGCCTTCCTTCGAAACGGGTATATCTTCACATCAAACCTAGACAGAAGCATTCTCAGAATGTTTCCTGTGATGACTGCATTCAACTCACAGAGGTGAACAATCCTGCTGATGGAGCAGTTTTGAAACTCTCTTTCTTTGGATTCTGCAAGTGGATATGTGGACCTCTGTGAAGATTTCGTTGGAAACGGGTTCATCTTCACAAAAAACTAAACAGAAGCATTCTCAGAAACTACTTTGTGATGTTTGTGTTCCACTTCAAGAATTGAACTTTCCTCTTGACAGAGCAGCTCTGAAACCCTCTTTTTCTAGAATCTGCAAGTGGACATTTGGAGGGCTTTGAGGCCTGTGGTGGAAAAGGAAAATCTTCACATAAAAACTAGATGGAAGCATTCTCAGAAACTACTTTGTGATGATTGCATTCGACTCACAGAGTTGAACATTCCTATAGATAGAGCAGGTTGTAAACAATGTTTTTGTAGAATCTGCGATTGGAGATTTGGACTGCTTTGAGGCCTACTGTAGTAAAGGAAATAACTTCATCTAAAAACCAAACGGAAGCATTCACAGACAATTCTTAGTGATCATTGGATTGAACTAACAGAGCTGAACATTCCTTTAGATGGAGCAGTTTCCAAACACACTTTCTGTAGAATCTGCAAGTGGATATTTGGACTTCTCTGAGGATTTCGTTGGAAACGGGATAAACTTCCCAGAACTACACGGAAGCATTCTGAGAAACTTCTTTGTGATGTTTGCATTCAACTCACAGAGTTGAACCTTGCTTTCATAGTTCAGCTTTCAAACCCTCTTTTTGTAGAATCTGCAAGTGGATATTTGGACCACTTTGTGGCCTTCCTTCGAAACGGGTATATCTTCACATCAAACCTAGACAGAAGCATTCTCAGAATGTTTCCTGTGATGACTGCATTCAACTCACAGAGGTGAACAATCCTGCTGATGGAGCAGTTTTGAAACTCTCTTTCTTTGGATTCTGCAAGTGGATATGTGGACCTCTGTGAAGATTTCGTTGGAAACGGGTTCATCTTCACAGAAAAACTAAACAGAAGCATTCTCAGAAACTGCTTTGTGATGTTTGTGTTCCACTTCAAGAATTGAACTTTCCTCTTGACAGTGCAGCTCTGCAACCCTCTTTTTCTAGAATCTGCAAGTGGACATTTGGAGGGCTTGGAGGCCTGTGGTGGAAAAGGAAAATCTTCACATAAAAACTAGATGGAAGCATTCTCAGAAACTACTTTGTGATGATTGCATTCGACTCACAGAGTTGAACATTCCTATACATAGAGCAGGTTGTAAACAATCTTTTTGTAGAATCTGCGATTGGAGATTTGGACTGCTTTGAGGCCTACTGTAGTAAAGGAAATAACTTCATCTAAAAACCAAACGGAAGCATTCACAGACAATTCTTAGTGATCATTGCATTGAACTAACAGAGCTGAACATTCCTTTAGATGGCGCAGTTTCCAAACACACTTTCTGTAGAATCTGCAAGTGGATATTTGGACCTCTCTGAGGATTTCGTTGGAAACGGGATAAACTTCCCAGATCTACACGGAAGCATTCTGAGAAACTTCTTTGTGATGTTTGCATTCAACTCACAGAGTTGAACCTTGGTTTCATAGTTCAGCTTTCAAACACTCTTTTTGTAGAATCTGCAAGTGGATATTTGGACCACTTTGTGGCCTTCCTTCGAAACGGGTATATCTTCACATCAAACCTAGACAGAAGCATTCTCAGAATGTTTCCTGTGATGACTGCATTCAACTCACAGAGGTGAACAATCCTGCTGATGGAGCAGTTTTGAAACTCTCTTTCTTTGGATTCTGCAAGTGGATATGTGGACCTCTGTGAAGATTTCGTTGGAAACGGGTTCATCTTCACAGAAAAACTAAACAGGAGCCTTCTCAGAAACTGCTTTGTGATGTTTGTGTTCCACTTCAGGAATTGAACTTTCCTCTTGACAGAGCAGCTCTGAAACCCTCTTTTTCTAGAATCTGCAAGTGGACATTTGGAGGGCTTTGAGGCCTGTGGTGGAAAAGGAAACTCTTCACATAAAAACTAGATGGAAGCATTCTCAGAAACCACTTTGTGATGATTGCATTGGACTCACAGAGTTGAACATTCCTATAGATAGAGCAGGTTGTAAACAATCTTTTTGTAGAATCTGCGATTGGAGATTTGGACTGCTTTGAGGCCTACTGTAGTAAAGGAAATAACTTCATCTAAAAACCAAACGGAAGCATTCACAGACAATTCTTAGTGATCATTGGATTGAACTAACAGAGCTGAACATTCCTTTAGATGGAGCAGTTTCCAAACCCACTTTCTGTAGAATCTGCAAGTGGATATTTGGACTTCTCTGAGGATTTCGTTGGAAACGGGATAAACTTCCCAGAACTACACGGAAGCATTGTGAGAAACTTCTTTGTGATGTTTGCATTCAACTCACAGAGTTGAACCTTGCTTTCATAGTTCAGCTTTCAAACACTCTTTTTGTAGAATCTGCAAGTGGATATTTGGACCACTTTGTGGCCTTCCTTCGACACGGGTATATCTTCACATCAAACCTAGACAGAAGCATTCTCAGAATGTTTCCTGTGATGACTGCATTCAACTCACAGAGGTGAACAATCCTGTTGATGGAGCAGTTTTGAAACTCTCTTTCTTTGGATTCTGCAAGTGGATATGTGGACCTCTGTGAAGATTTGGTTGGAAACGGGTTCATCTTCACAGAAAAACTAAACAGAAGCATTCTCAGAATCTGTTTTGTGATGTTTGTGTTCCACTTCAAGAATTGAACTTTCCTCTTGACAGAGCAGCTCTGAAACCCTCTTTTTCTAGAATCTGCAAGTGGACATTTGGAGGGCTTTGAGGCCTGTGGTGGAAAAGGAAAATCTTCACATAAAAACTAGATGGAAGCATTCTCAGAAATTACTTTGTGATGATTGCATTCGACTCACAGAGTTGAACATTCCTATAGATAGAGCAGGTTGTAAACAATCTTTTTGTAGAATCTGCGATTGGAGATTTGGACTGCTTTGAGGCCTACTGTAGTAAAGGAAATAACTTCATCTAAAAACCAAACGGAAGCATTCACAGACAATTCTTAGTGATCATTGGATTGAACTAACAGAGCTGAACATTCCCTTAGATGGCGCAGTTTCCAAACACACTTTCTGTAGAATCTGCAAGTGGATATTTGGACCTCTCTGAGGATTTCGTTGGAAACGGGATAAACTTCCCAGAGCTACACGGAAGCATTCTGAGAAACTTCTTTGTGATGTTTGCATTCAACTCACAGAGTTGAACCTTGCTTTCATAGTTCAGCTTTCAAACACTCTTTTTGTAGAATCTGCAAGTGGATATTTGGACCACTTTGTGGCCTTCCTTCGAAACGGGTATATCTTCACATCAAACCTAGACAGAAGCATTCTCAGAATGTTTCCTGTGATGACTGCATTCAACTCACAGAGGTGAACAATCCTGCTGATGGAGCAGTTTTGAAACTCTCTTTCTTTGGATTCTGCAAGTGGATATGTGGACCTACTGTGAAGATTTCGTTGGAAACGGGTTCATCTTCACAGAAAAACTAAACAGGAGCATTCTCAGAAACTGCTTTGTGATGTTTGTGTTCCACTTCAAGAATTGAACTTTCCTCTTGACAGAGCAGCTCTGAAAACCTCTTTTTCTAGAATCTGCAAGTGGACATTTGGAGGGCTTTGAGGCCTGTGGTGGAAAAGGAAAATCTTCACATAAAAACTAGATGGAAGCATTCTCAGAAACTACTTTGGGATGATTGCATTCGACTCACAGAGTTGAACATTCCTATAGATAGAGCAGGTTGTAAACAATCTTTTTGTAGAATCTGCGATTGGAGATTTGGACTGCTTTGAGGCCTACTGTAGTAAAGGAAATAACTTCATCTAAAAACCAAACGGAAAGCATTCACAGAAAATTCATAGTGATCATTGGATTGAACTAACAGAGCTGAACATTCCTTTAGATGGAGCAGTTTCCAAACCCACTTTCTGTAGAATCTGCAAGTGGATATTTGGACTTCTCTGAGGATTTCGTTGGAAAAGGGATATGCTTCCCAGAAATACAGGGAAGCATTGTGAGAAACTTCTTTGTGATGTTTGCATTCAACTCACAGAGTTGAACCTTGCTTTCATAGTTCAGCTTTCAAACACTCTTTTTGTAGAATCTGCAAGTGGATATTTGGACCACTTTGTGGCCTTCCTTCGAAACGGGTATATCTTCACATCAAACCTAGACAGAAGCATTCTCAGAATGTTTCCTGTGATGACTGCATTCAACTCACAGAGGTGAACAATCCTGCTGATGGAGCAGTTTTGAAACTCTCTTTCTTTGGATTCTGCAAGTGGATATGTCGACCTCTGTGAAGATTTCGTTGGAAACGGGTTCATCTTCACAGAAAAACTAAACAGAAGCATTCTCAGAAACTGCTTTGTGATGTTTGTGTTCCACTTCAAGAATTGTACTTTCCTCTTGACAGAGCAGCTCTGAAACCCTCTTATTCTAGAATCTGCAAGTGGACATTTGGAGGGCTTTGAGGCCTGTGGTGGAAAAGGAAAATCTTCACATAAAAACTAGATGGAAGCATTCTCAGAAACTACTTTGTGATGATGGCTTTCGACTCACAGAGTTGAACATTCCTATAGATAGAGCAGGTTGTAAACAATCTTTTTGTAGAATCTGCGATTGGAGATTTGGACTGCTTTGAGGCCTACTGTAGTAAAGGAAATAACTTCATCTAAAAACCAAACGGAAGCATTTACAGACAATTCTTAGTGATCATTGGATTGAACTAACAGAGCTGAACATTCCTTTAGATGGAGCAGTTTCCAAACCCACTTTCTGTAGAATCTGCAAGTGGATATTTGGACTTCTCTGAGGATTTCGTTGGAAACGGGATAAACTTCCCAGAACTACACGGAAGCATTCTGAGAAACTTCTTTGTGATGTTTGCATTCAACTCACAGAGTTGAACCTTGCTTTCATAGTTCAGCTTTCAAACACTCTTTTTGTAGAATCTGCAAGTGGATATTTGGACCACTTTCTGGCCTTCCTTCGAAACGGGTATATCTTCACATCAAACCTAGACAGAAGCATTCTCAGAATGTTTCCTGTGATGACTGCATTCAACTCACAGAGGTGAACAATCCTGCTGATGGAGCAGTTTTGAAACTCTCTTTCTTTGGATTCTGCAAGTGGATATGTGGACCTCTGTGAAGATTTCGTTGGAAACGGGTTCATCTTCACAGAAAAACTAAACAGAAGCATTCTCAGAAACTGCTTTGTGATGTTTGTGTTCCACTTCAAGAATTGAACTTTCCTCTTGACAGAGCAGCTCTGAAACCCTCTTTTTCTAGAATCTGCAAGTGGACATTTGGAGGGCTTTGAGGCCTGTGGTGGAAAAGGAAAATCTTCACATAAAAACTAGATGGAAGCATTCTCAGAAACTACTTTGTGATGATTGCATTCGACTCACAGAGTTGAACATTCCTATAGATAGAGCAGGTTGTAAACAATCTTTTTGTAGAATCT
This sequence comes from Homo sapiens, assembly GCF_000001405.40. Classification (NCBI taxonomy): domain Eukaryota; kingdom Metazoa; phylum Chordata; class Mammalia; order Primates; family Hominidae; genus Homo; species Homo sapiens. Next base: position 51,355,291 of record NC_000011.10, read on the forward strand.
GCGATTGGAGATTTGGACTGCTTTGAGGCCTACTGTAGTAAAGGAAATAACTTCATCTAAAAACCAAACGGAAGCATTCACAGACAATTCTTAGTGATCATTGGATTGAACTAACAGAGCTGAACATTCCTTTAGATGGCGCAGTTTCCAAACACACTTTCTGTAGAATCTGCAAGTGGATATTTGGACTTCTCTGAGGATTTCGTTGGAAACGGGATAAACTTCCCAGAACTACACGGAAGCATTCTGAGAAACTTCTTTGTGATGTTTGCATTCAACTCACAGAGTTGAACCTTGCTTTCATAGTTCAGCTTTCAAACACTCTTTTTGTAGAATCTGCAAGTGGATATTTGGACCACTTTGTGGCCTTCCTTCGAAACGGGTATATCTTCACATCAAACCTAGACAGAAGCATTCTCAGAATGTTTCCTGTGATGACTGCATTCAACTCACAGAGGTGAACAATCCTGCTGATGGAGCAGTTTTGAAACTCTCTTTCTTTGGATTCTGCAAGTGGATATGTGGACCTCTGTGAAGATTTCGTTGGAAACGGGTTCATCTTCACAGAAAAACTAAACAGGAGCATTCTCAGAAACTGCTTTGTGATGTTTGTGTTCCACTTCAAGAATTGAACTTTCCTCTTGACAGAGCAGCTCTGAAACCCTCTTTTTCTAGAATCTGCAAGTGGACATTTGGAGGGCTTTGAGGCCTGTGGTGGAAAAGGAAAATCTTCACATAAAAACTAGATGGAAGCATTCTCAGAAACTACTTTGTGATGATTGCATTCGACTCACAGAGTTGAACATTCCTATAGATAGAGCAGGTTGTAAACAATCTTTTTGTAGAATCTGCGATTGGAGATTTGGACTGCTTTGAGGCCTACTGCAGTAAAGGAAATAACTTCATCTAAAAACCAAACGGAAGCATTCACAGACAATTCTTAGTGATCATTGCATTGAACTAACAGAGCTGAACATTCCTTTAGATGGCGCAGTTTCCAAACACACTTTCTGTAGAATCTGCAAGTGGATATTTGGACCTCTCTGAGGATTTCGTTGGAAACGGGATAAACTTCCCAGAACTACACGGAAGCATTGTGAGAAAATTCTTTGTGATGTTTGCATTCAACTCACAGAGTTGAACCTTGGTTTCATAGTTCAGCTTTCAAACACTCTTTTTGTAGAATCTGCAAGTGGATATTTGGACCACTTTGTGGCCTTCCTTCGAAACGGGTATATCTTCACATCAAACCTAGACAGAAGCATTCTCAGAATGTTTCCTGTGATGACTGCATTCAACTCACAGAGGTGAACAATCCTGCTGATGGAGCAGTTTTGAAACTCTCTTTCTTTGGATTCTGCAAGTGGATATGTGGACCTCTGTGAAGATTTCGTTGGAAACGGGTTCATCTTCACAGAAAAACTAAACAGGAGCATTCTCAGAAACTGCTTTGTGATGTTTGTGTTCCACTTCAAGAATTGAACTTTCCTCTTGACAGAGCAGCTCTGAAACCCTCTTATTCTAGAATCTGCAAGTGGACATTTGGAGGGCTTTGAGGCCTGTGGTGGAAAAGGAAAATCTTCACATAAAAACTAGATGGAAGCATTCTCAGAAACTACTGTGTGATGATTGCATTCGACTCACAGAGTTGAACATTCCTATAGATAGAGCAGGTTGTAAACAATCTTTTTGTAGAATCTGCGATTGGAGATTTAGACTGCTTTGAGGCCTACTGTAGTAAAGGAAATAACTTCATCTAAAAACCAAACGGAAGCATTCACAGACAATTCTTAGTGATCATTGCATTGAACTAACAGAGCTGAACATTCCTTTAGATGGAGCATTTTCCAAACACACTTTCTGTAGAATCTGCAAGTGGATATTTGGACATCTTTGAGGATTTCGTTGGAAACGGGATAAACTTCCCAGAACTACACGGAAGCATTCTGAGAAACTTCTTTGTGATGTTTGCATTCAACTCACAGAGTTGAACCTTGCTTTCATAGTTCAGCTTTCAAACACTCTTTTTGTAGAATCTGCAAGTGGATATTTGGACCACTTTGTGGCCTTCCTTCGAAACGGGTATATCTTCACATCAAACCTAGACAGAAGCATTCTCAGAATGTTTCCTGTGATGACTGCATTCAACTCACAGAGGTGAACAATCCTGTTGATGGAGCAGTTTTAAAACTCTCTTTCTTTGGATTCTGCAAGTGGATATGTGGACCTCTGTGAAGATTTCGTTGGAAACGGGTTCAACTGCACAGAAAAACTAAACAGGAGCATTCTCAGAAACTGCTTTGTGATGTTTGTGTTCCACTTCAAGAATTGAACTTTCCTCTTGACAGAGCAGCTCTGAAACCCTCTTTTTCTAGAATCTGCAAGTGGACATTTGGAGGGCTTTGAGGCCTGTGGTGGAAAAGGAAAATCTTCACATAAAAACTAGATGGAAGCATTCTCAGAAACTACTTTGTTATGATTGCATTCGACTCACAGAGTTGAACATTCCTATAGATAGAGCAGGTTGTAAACAATCTTTTTGTAGAATCTGCGATTGGAGATTTGGACTGCTTTGAGGCCTACTGTAGTAAAGGAAATAACTTCATCTAAAAACCAAACGGAAGCATTCACAGACAATTCTTAGTGATCATTGCATTGAACTAACAGAGCTGAACATTCCTTTAGATGGCGCAGTTTCTAAACACACTTTCTGTAGAATCTGCAAGTGGATATTTGGACCTCTCTGAGGATTTCGTTGGAAACGGGATAAACTTCCCAGAACTACACGGAAGCATTCTGAGAAACTTCTTTGTGATGTTTGCTTTCAACTCACAGAGTTGAACCTTGCTTTCATAGTTCAGCTTTCAAACCCTCTTTTTGTAGAATCTGCAAGTGGATATTTGGACCACTTTGTGGCCTTCCTTCGAAACGGGTATATCTTCACATCAAATCTAGACAGAAGCATTCTCAGAATGTTTCCTGTGATGACTGCATTCAACTCACAGAGGTGAACAATCCTGCTGATGGAGCAGTTTTGAAACTCTCTTTCTTTGGATTCTGCAAGTGGATATGTGGACCTCTGTGAAGATTTCGTTGGAAACGGGTTCATCTTCACAGAAAAACTAAACAGAAGCATTCTCAGAAACTGCTTTGTGATGTTTGTGTTCCACTTCAAGAATTGAACTTTCCTCTTGACAGAGCAGCTCTGAAACCCTCTTATTCTAGAATCTGCAAGTGGACATTTGGAGGGCTTTGAGGCCTGTGGTGGAAAAGGAAAATCTTCACATAAAAACTAGATGGAAGCATTCTCAGAAACTACTTTGTGATGATTGCATTTGACTCACAGAGTTGAACATTCCTATAGATAGAGCAGGTTGTAAACAATCTTTTTCTAGAATCTGCGATTGGAGATTTGGACTGCTTTGAGGCCTACTGTAGTAAAGGAAATAACTGCATCTAAAAACCAAACGGAAGCATTCACAGACAATTCTTAGTGATCATTGGATTGAACTAACAGAGCTGAACATTCCTTTAGATGGAGCAGTTTCCAAACACACTTTCTGTAGAATCTGCAAGTGGATATTTGGACTTCTCTGAGGATTTCGTTGGAAACGGGATAAACTTCCCAGAACTACACGGAAGCATTCTGAGAAACTTCTTTGTGATGTTTGCATTCAACTCACAGAGTTGAACCTTGCTTTCTTAGTTCAGCTTTCAAACACTCTTTTTGTAGAATCTGCAAGTGGATATTTGGACCACTTTGTGGCCTTCCTTCGAAACGGGTGTATCTTCACATCAAACCTAGACAGAAGCATTCTCAGAATGTTTCCTGTGATGACTGCATTCAACTCACAGAGGTGAACAATCCTGTTGATGGAGCAGTTTTGAAACTCTCTTTCTTTGGATTCTGCAAGTGGATATGTGGACCTCTGTGAAGATTTGGTTGGAAACGGGTTCATCTTCACAGAAAAACTAAACAGAAGCATTCTCAGAAACTGCTTTGTGATGTTTGTGTTCCACTTCAAGAATTGAACTTTCCTCTTGACAGAGCAGCTCTGAAACCCTCTTTTTCTAGAATCTGCAAGTGGACATTTGGGGGGCTTTGAGACCTGTGGTGAAAAAGGAAAATCTTCACATAAAAACTAGATGGAAGCATTCTCAGAAACTACTTTGTGATGATTGCATTCGACTCACAGAGTTGAACATTCCTATACATAGAGCAGGTTGTAAACAATCTTTTTGTAGAATCTGCGATTGGAGATTTGGACTGCTTTGAGGCCTACTGTAGTAAAGGAAATAACTTCATCTAAAAACCAAACGGAAGCATTCACAGACAATTCTTAGTGATCATTGGATTGAACTAACAGAGCTGAACATTCCTTTAGATGGAGCAGTTTCCAAACACACTTTCTGTAGAATCTGCAAGTGGATATTTGGACTTCTCTGAGGATTTCGTTGGAAACGGGATAAACTTCCCAGAACTACACGGAAGCATTGTGAGAAACTTCTTTGTGGTGTTTGCATTCAACTCACAGAGTTGAACCTTGCTTTCATAGTTCAGCTTTCAAACACTCATTTTGTGGAATCTGCAAGTGGATATTTGGACCACTTTGTGGCCTTCCTTCGAAACGGGTATATCTTCACATCAAACCTAGACAGAAGCATTCTCAGAATGTTTCCTGTGATGACTGCATTCAACTCACAGAGGTGAACAATCCTGCTGATGGAGCAGTTTTGAAACTCTCTTTCTTTGGATTCTGCAAGTGGATATGTGGACCTCTGTGAAGATTTCGTTGGAAACGGGTTCATCTTCACAGAAAAACTAAACAGGAGCATTCTCAGAAACTGCTTTGTGATGTTTGTGTTCCACTTCAAGAATTGAACTTTCCTCTTGACAGAGCAGCTCTGAAACCCTCTTTTTCTAGAATCTGCAAGTGGACATTTGGAGGGCTTTGAGGCCTGTGGTGGAAAAGGAAAATCTTCACATAAAAACTAGATGGAAGCATTCTCAGAAACTACTTTGTGATGATTGCATTCGACTCACAGAGTTGAACATTCCTATACATAGAGCAGGTTGTAAACAATCTTTTTGTAGAATCTGCGATTGGAGATTTGGACTGCTTTGAGGCCTACTGTAGTAAAGGAAATAACTTCATCTAAAAACCAAACGGAAGCATTCACAGACAATTCTTAGTGATCATTGGATTGAACTAACAGAGCTGAACATTCCTTTAGATGGAGCAGTTTCCAAACACACTTTCTGTAGAATCTGCAAGTGGATATTTGGACTTCTCTGAGGATTTCGTTGGAAACGGGATAAACTTCTCAGAACTACAGGGAAGCATTGTGAGAAACTTCTTTGTGATGTTTGCATTCAACTCACAGAGTTGAACGTTGTTTTCATAGTTCAGCTTTCAAACACTCTTTTTGTAGAATCTGCAAGTGGATATTTGGACCACTTTGTGGCCTTCCTTCGAAACGGGTATATCTTCACATCAAACCTAGACAGAAGCATTCTCAGAATGTTTCCTGTGATGACTGCATTCAACTCACAGAGGTGAACAATCCTGCTGATGGAGCAGTTTTGAAACTCTCTTTCTTTGGATTCTGCAAGTGGATATGTGGACCTCTGTGAAGATTTCGTTGGAAACGGGTTCATCTTCACAGAAAAACTAAACAGGAGCATTCTCAGAAACTGCTTTGTGATGTTTGTGTTCCACTTCAGGAATTGAACTTTCCTCTTGACAGAGCAGCTCTGAAACCCTCTTTTTCTAGAATCTGCAAGTGGACATTTGGAGGGCTTTGAGGCCTGTGGTGGAAAAGGAAAATCTTCACATAAAAACTAGATGGAAGCATTCTCAGAAACTACTTTGTGATGATTGCATTCGACTCACAGAGTTGAACATTCCTATAGATAGAGCAGGTTGTAAACAATCTTTTTGTAGAATCTGCGATTGGAGATTTGGACTGCTTTGAGGCCTACTGTAGTAAAGGAAATAACTTCATCTAAAAACCAAACGGAAGCATTCACAGACAATTCTTAGTGATCATTGGATTGAACTAACAGAGCTGAACATTCCTTTAGATGGAGCAGTTTCCAAACACACTTTCTGTAGAATCTGCAAGTGGATATTTGGACTTCTCTGAGGATTTCGTTGGAAACGGGATAAACTTCCCAGAACTACACGGAAGCATTCTGAGAAACTTCTTTGTGATGTTTGCATTCAACTCACAGAGTTGAACCTTGCTTTCATAGTTCAGCTTTCAAACACTCTTTTTGTAGAATCTGCAAGTGGATATTTGGACCACTTTGTGGCCTTCCTTCGAAACGGGTATATCTTCACATCAAACCTAGACAGAAGCATTCTCAGAATGTTTCCTGTGATGACTGCATTCAACTCACAGAGGTGAACAATCCTGCTGATGGAGCAGTTTTGAAACTCTCCTTCTTTGGATTCTGGAAGTGGATATGTGGACCACTGTGAAGATTTCGTTGGAAACGGGTTCATCTTCACAGAAAAACTAAACAGAAGCATTCTCAGAAACTGCTGTGTGATGTTTGTGTTCGACTTCAGGAATTGAACTTTCCTCTTGACAGAGCAGCTCTGAAACCCTCTTATTCTAGAATCTGCAAGTGGACATTTGGAGGGCTTTGAGGCCTCTGGTGGAAAAGAAAATCTTCACATAAAAACTAGATGGAAGCATTCTCAGAAACTACTTTGTGATGATTGCATTCGACTCACAGAGTTGAACATTCCTATACATAGAGCAGGTTGTAAACAATCTTTTTGTAGAATCTGCGATTGGAGATTTGGACTGCTTTGAGGCCTACTGTAGTAAAGGAAATAACTTCATCTAAAAACCAAACGGAAGCATTCACAGACAATTCTTAGTGATCATTGGATTGAACTAACAGAGCTGAACATTCCTTTAGATGGCGCAGTTTCCAAACACACTTTCTGTAGAATCTGCAAGTGGATATTTGGACCTCTCTGAGGATTTCGTTGGAAACGGGATAAACTTCCCAGAACTACACGGAAGCATTCTGAGAAACTTCTTTGTGATGTTTGCATTCAACTCACAGAGTTGAACCTTGCTTTCATAGTTCAGCTTTCAAACACTCTTTTTGTAGAATCTGCAAGTGGATATTTGGACCACTTTGTGGCCTTCCTTCGAAACGGGTATATCTTCACATCAAACCTAGACAGAAGCATTCTCAGAATGTTTCCTGTGATGACTGCATTCAACTCACAGAGGTGAACAATCCTGCTGATGGAGCAGTTTTGAAACTCTCTTTCTTTGGATTCTGCAAGTGGATATGTGGACCTCTGTGAAGATTTCGTTGGAAACGGGTTCATCTTCACAGAAAAACTAAACAGAAGCATTCTCAGAAACTACTTTGTGATGTTTGTGTTCCACTTCAAGAATTGAACTTTCCTCTTGACAGAGCAGCTCTGAAACCCTCTTTTTCTAGAATCTGCAAGTGGACATTTGGAGGGCTTTGAGGCCTGTGGTGGAAAAGGAAAATCTTCACATAAAAACTAGATGGAAGCATTCTCAGAAACTACTTTGTGATGATTGCATTCGACTCACAGAGTTGAACATTCCTATACATAGAGCAGGTTGTAAACAATCTTTTTGTAGAATCTGCGATTGGAGATTTGGACTGCTTTGAGGCCTACTGTAGTAAAGGAAATAACTTCATCTAAAAACCAAACGGAAGCATTCACAGACAATTCTTAGTGATCATTGCATTGAACTAACAGAGCTGAACATTCCTTTAGATGGAGCAGTTTCCAAACCCACTTTCTGTAGAATCTGCAAGTGGATATTTGGACTTCTCTGAGGATTTCGTAGGAAACGGGATAAACTTCCCAGAACTACACGGAAGCATGCTGAGAAACTTCTTTGTGATGTTTGCATTCAACTCACAGAGTTGAACGTTGCTTTCATAGTTCAGCTTTCAAACACTCTTTTTGTAGAATCTGCAAGTGGATATTTGGACCACTTTGTGGCCTTCCTTCGAAACGGGTATATCTTCACATCAAACCTAGACAGAAGCATTCTCAGAATGTTTCCTGTGATGACTGCATTCAACTCACAGAGGTGAACAATCCTGCTGATGGAGCAGTTTTGAAACTCTCTTTCTTTGGATTCTGCAAGTGGATATGTGGACCTCTGTGAAGATTTCGTTGGAAACGGGTTCATCTTCACAGAAAAACTAAACAGGAGCATTCTCAGAAACTGCTTTGTGATGTTTGTGTTCCACTTCAGGAATTGAACTTTCCTCTTGACAGAGCAGCTCTGAAACCCTCTTTTTCTAGAATCTGCAAGTGGACATTTGGAGGGCTTTGAGGCCTGTGGTGGAAAAGGAAAATCTTCACATAAAAACTAGATGGAAGCATTCTCAGAAACTACTTTGTGATGATTGCATTCGACTCACAGAGTTGAACATTCCTATAGATAGAGCAGGTTGTAAACAATCTTTTTGTAGAATCTGCGATTGGAGATTTGGACTGCTTTGAGGCCTACTGTAGTAAAGGAAATAACTTCATCTAAAAACCAAACGGAAGCATTCACAGACAATTCTTAGTGATCATTGCATTGAACTAACAGAGCTGAACATTCCTTTAGATGGCGCAGTTTCCAAACACACTTTCTGTAGAATCTGCAAGTGGATATTTGGACCTCTCTGAGGATTTCGTTGGAAACGGGATAAAATTCCCAGAACTACACGGAAGCATTCTGAGAAACTTCTTTGTGATGTTTGCATTCAACTCACAGAGTTGAACCTTGCTTTCATAGTTCAGCTTTCAAACACTCTTTTTGTAGAATCTGCAAGTGGATATTTGGACCACTTTGTGGCCTTCCTTCGAAACGGGTATATCTTCACATCAAACCTAGACAGAAGCATTCTCAGAATGTTTCCTGTGATGACTGCATTCAACTCACAGAGGTGAACAATCCTGCTGATGGAGCAGTTTTGAAACTCTCTTTCTTTGGATTCTGCAAGTGGATATGTGGACCTCTGTGAAGATTTCGTTGGAAACGGGTTCATCTTCACAGAAAAACTAAACAGAAGCATTCTCAGAAACTGCTTTGTGATGTTTGTGTTCCACTTCAGGAATTGAACTTTCCTCTTGACAGAGCAGCTCTGAAACCCTCTTATTCTAGAATCTGCAAGTGGACATTTGGAGGGCTTTGAGGCCTGTGGTGGAAAAGGAAAATCTTCACATAAAAACTAGATGGAAGCATTCTCAGAAACTACTTTGTGATGATTGCATTCGACTCACAGAGTTGAACATTCCTATAGATAGAGCAGGTTGTAAACAATCTTTTTGTAGAATCTGCGATTGGAAATTTGGACTGCTTTGAGGCCTACTGTAGTAAAGGAAATAACTTCATCTAAAAACCAAACGGAAGCATTCACAGACAATTCTTAGTATTCATTGGATTGAACTAACAGAGCTGAACATTCCTTTAGATGGAGCAGTTTCCAAACACACTTTCTGTAGAATCTGCAAGTGGATATTTGGACTTCTCTGAGGATTTCGTTGGAAACGGGATAAACTTCCCAGAACTACACGGAAGCATTGTGAGAAACTTCTTTGTGATGTTTGCATTCAACTCACAGAGTTGAACCTTGCTTTCATAGTTCAGCTTTCAAACACTCTTTTTGTAGAATCTGCAAGTGGATATTTGGACCACTTTGTGGCCTTCCTTCGAAACGGGTATATCTTCACATCAAACCTAGACAGAAGCATTCTCAGAATGTTTCCTGTGATGACTGCATTCAACTCACAGAGGTGAACAATCCTGCTGATGGAGCAGTTTTGAAACTCTCTTTCTTTGGATTCTGCAAGTGGATATGTGGACCTCTGTGAAGATTTCGTTGGAAACGGGTTCATCTTCACAGAAAAACTAAACAGAATCATTCTCAGAAACTGCTTTGTGATGTTTGTGTTCCACTTCAGGAATTGAACTTTCCTCTTGACAGAGCAGCTCTGAAACCCTCTTTTTCTAGAATCTGCAAGTGGATATTTGGAGGGCTTTGAGGCCTGTGGTGGAAAAGGAAAATCTTCACATAAATAATAGATGGAAGCATTCTCAGAAACTACTTTGTGATGATTGCATTCGACTCACAGAGTTGAACATTCCTATAGATAGAGCAGGTTGTAAACAATGTTTTTGTAGAATCTGCGATTGGAGATTTGGACTGCTTTGAGGCCTACTGTAGTAAAGGAAATAACTTCATCTAAAAACCAAACGGAAGCATTCACAGATAATTCTTAGTGATCATTGGATTGAACTAACAGAGCTGAACATTCCTTTAGATGGAGCAGTTTCCAAACCCACTTTCTGTAGAATCTGCAAGTGGATATTTGGACTTCTCTGAGGATTTCGTTGGAAACGGGATAAACTTCCCAGAACTACAGGGAAGCATTCTGAGAAACTTCTTTGTGATGTTTGCATTCAACTCACAGAGTTGAACCTTGCTTTCATAGTTCAGCTTTCAAACACTCTTTTTGTAGAATCTGCAAGTGGATATTTGGACCACTTTGTGGCCTTCCTTCGAAACGGGTATATCTTCACATCAAACCTAGACAGAAGCATTCTCAGAATGTTTCCTGTGATGACTGCATTCAACTCACAGAGGTGAACAATCCTGCTGATGGAGCAGTTTTGAAACTCTCTTTCTTTGGATTCTGCAAGTGGATATGTGGACCTCTGTGAAGATTTCGTTGGAAACGGGTTCATCTTCACAGAAAAACTAAACAGGAGCATTCTCAGAAACTGCTATGTGATGTTTGTGTTCCACTTCAAGAATTGAACTTTCCTCTTGACAGAGCAGCTCTGAAACCCTCTTTTTCTAGAATCTGCAAGTGGACATTTGGAGGGCTTTGAGGCCTGTGGTGGAAAAGGAAAATCTTCACATAAAAACTAGATGGAAGCATTCTCAGAAACTACTTTGTGATGATTGCATTCGACTCACAGAGTTGAACATTCCTATAGATAGAGCAGGTTGTAAACAATCTTTTTGTAGAATCTGCGATTGGAGATTTGGACTGCTTTGAGGCCTACTGTAGTAAAGGAAATAACTTCATCTAAAAACCAAACGGAAGCATTCACAGACAATTCTTAGTGATCATTGCATTGAACTAACAGAGCTGAACATTCCTTTAGATGGCGCAGTTTCCAAACACACTTTCTGTAGAATCTGCAAGTGGATATTTGGACCTCTCTGAGGATTTCGTTGGAAACGGGATAAACTTCCCAGAACTACACGGAAGCATTGTGAGAAAATTCTTTGTGATGTTTGCATTCAACTCACAGAGTTGAACCTTGGTTTCATAGTTCAGCTTTCAAACACTCTTTTTGTAGAATCTGCAAGTGGATATTTGGACCACTTTGTGGCCTTCCTTCGAAACGGGTATATCTTCACATCAAACCTAGACAGAAGCATTCTCAGAATGTTTCCTGTGATGACTGCATTCAACTCACAGAGGTGAACAATCCTGCTGATGGAGCAGTTTTGAAACTCCCTTTCTTTGGATTCTGCAAGTGGATATGTGGACCTCTGTGAAGATTACGTTGGAAACGGGTTCATCTTCACAGAAAAACTAAACAGAAGCATTCTCAGAAACTGCTTTGTGATGTTTGTGTTCCACTTCAAGAATTGAACTTTCCTCTTGACAGAGCAGCTCTGAAACCCTCTTTTTCTAGAGTCTGCAAGTGGACATTTGGAGGGCTTTGAGGCCTGTGGTGGAAAAGGAAAATCTTCACATAAAAACTAGATGGAAGCATTCTCAGAAACTACTTTGGGATGATTGCATTCGACTCACAGAGTTGAACATTCCTATAGATAGAGCAGGTTGTAAACAATCTTTTTGTAGAATCTGCGATTGGAGATTTGGACTGCTTTGAGGCATACTGTAGTAAAGGAAATAACTTCATCTAAAAACCAAACGGAAGCATTCACAGACAATTCTTAGTGATCATTGGATTGAACTAACAGAGCTGAACATTCCTTTAGATGGAGCAGTTTCCAAACACACTTTCTGTAGAATCTGCAAGTGGATATTTGGACTTCTCTGAGGATTTCGTTGGAAACGGGATAAACTTCCCAGAACTACACGGAAGCATTGTGAGAAACATCTTTGTGAAGTTTGCATTCAACTCACAGAGTTGAACCTTGCTTTCATAGTTCAGCTTTCAAACACTCTTTTTGTAGAATCTGCAAGTGGATATTTGGACCACTTTGTGGCCTTCCTTTGAAACGGGTGTATCTTCACATCAAACCTAGACAGAAGCATTCTCAGAATGTTTCCTGTGATGACTGCATTCAACTCACAGAGGTGAACAATCCTGCTGTAGGAGCAGTTTTGAAACTCTCTTTCTTTGGATTCTGCAAGTGGATATGTGGACCTCTGTGAAGATTTCGTTGGAAACGGGTTCATCTTCACAGAAAAACTAAACAGGAGCATTCTCAGAAACTGCTTTGTGATGTTTGTGTTCCACTTCAAGAATTGAACTTTCCTCTTGACAGAGCAGCTCTGAAACCCTCTTTTTCTAGAATCTGCAAGTGGACATTTGGAGGGCTTTGAGGCCTGTGGTGGAAAAGGAAAATCTTCACATAAAAACTAGATGGAAGCATTCTCAGAAACTACTTTGTGATGATTGCATTCGACTCACAGAGTTGAACATTCCTATAGATAGAGCAGGTTGTAAACAATCTTTTTGTAGAATCTGCGATTGGAGATTTGGACTGCTTTGAGGCCTACTGTAGTAAAGGAAATAACTTCATCTAAAAACCAAACGGAAGCATTCACAGACAATTCTTAGTGATCATTGCATTGAACTAACAGAGCTGAACATTCCTTTAGATGGCGCAGTTTCCAAACACACTTTCTGTAGAATCTGCAAGTGGATATTTGGACTTCTCTGAGGATTTCGTTGGAAACGGGATAAACTTCCCAGAACTACACGGAAGCATTCTGAGAAACTTCTTTGTGATGTTTGCATTCAACTCACAGAGTTGAACCTTGCTTTCATAGTTCAGCTTTCAAACACTCTTTTTGTAGAATCTGCAAGTGGATATTTGGACCACTTTCTGGCCTTCCTTCGAAACGGGTATATCTTCACATCAAACCTAGACAGAAGCATTCTCAGAATGTTTCCTGTGATGACTGCATTCAACTCACAGAGGTGAACAATCCTGTTGATGGAGCAGTTTTGAAACTCTCTTTCTTTGGATTCTGCAAGTGGATATGTGGACCTCTGTGAAGATTTCGTTGGAAACGGGTTCATCTTCACAGAAAAACTAAACAGAAGCATTCTCAGAAACTGCTTTGTGATGTTTGTGTTCCACTTCAGGAATTGAACTTTCCTCTTGACAGAGCAGCTCTGAAACCCTCTTATTCTAGAATCTGCAAGTGGACATTTGGAGGGCTTTGAGGCCTGTGGTGGAAAAGGAAAATCTTCACATAAAAACTAGATGGAAGCATTCTCAGAAACTACTTTGTGATGATTGCATTCGACTCACAGAGTTGAACATTCCTATAGATAGAGCAGGTTGTAAACAATCTTTTTGTAGAATCTGCGATTGGAGATTTGGACTGCTTTGAGGCCTACTGTAGTAAAGGAAATAACTTCATCTAAAAACCAAACGGAAGCATTCACAGACAATTCTTAGTGATCATTGGATTGAACTAACAGAGCTGAACATTCCTTTAGATGGAGCAGTTTCCAAACACACTTTCTGTAGAATCTGCAAGTGGATATTTGGACCTCTCTGAGGATTTCGTTGGAAACGGGATAAACTTCCCAGAACTACACGGAAGCATTCTGAGAAACTTCTTTGTGATGTTTGCATTCAACTCACAGAGTTGAACCTTGCTTTCATAGTTCAGCTTTCAAACACTCTTTTTGTAGAATCTGCAAGTGGATATTTGGACCACTTTCTGGCCTTCCTTCGAAACGGGTATATCTTCACATCAAACCTAGACAGAAGCATTCTCAGAATGTTTCCTGTGATGACTGCATTCAACTCACAGAGGTGAACAATCCTGCTGATGGAGCAGTTTTGAAACTCTCTTTCTTTGGATTCTGCAAGTGGATATGTGGACCTCTGTGAAGATTTCGTTGGAAACGGGTTCATCTTCACAGAAAAACTAAACAGAAGCATTCTCAGAAACTACTTTGTGATGTTTGTGTTCCACTTCAAGAATTGAACTTTCCTCTTGACAGAGCAGCTCTGAAACCCTCTTTTTCTAGAATCTGCAAGTGGACATTTGGAGGGCTTTGAGGCCTGTGGTGGAAAAGGAAAATCTTCACATAAAAACTAGATGGAAGCATTCTCAGAAACTACTTTGTGATGATTGCATTCGACTCACAGAGTTGAACATTCCTATAGATAGAGCAGGTTGTAAACAATCTTTTTGTAGAATCTGCGATTGGAGATTTGGACTGCTTTGAGGCCTACTGTAGTAAAGGAAATAACTTCATCTAAAAACCAAACGGAAGCATTCACAGACAATTCTTAGTGATCATTGCATTGAACTAACAGAGCTGAACATTCCTTTAGATGGCGCAGTTTCCAAACACACTTTCTGTAGAATCTGCAAGTGGATATTTGGACTTCTCTGAGGATTTCGTTGGAAACGGGATAAACTTCCCAGAACTACACGGAAGCATTCTGAGAAACTTCTTTGTGATGTTTGCATTCAACTCACAGAGTTGAACCTTGCTTTCATAGTTCAGCTTTCAAACACTCTTTTTGTAGAATCTGCAAGTGGATATTTGGACCACTTTGTGGCCTTCCTTCGAAACGGGTATATCTTCACATCAAACCTAGACAGAAGCATTCTCAGAATGTTTCCTGTGATGACTGCATTCAACTCACAGAGGTGAACAATCCTGCTGATGGAGCAGTTTTGAAACTCTCTTTCTTTGGATTCTGCAAGTGGATATGTGGACCTCTGTGAAGATTTCGTTGGAAACGGGTTCATCTTCACAGAAAAACTAAACAGGAGCATTGTCAGAAACTGCTTTGTGATGTTTGTGTTCCACTTCAAGAATTGAACTTTCCTCTTGACAGAGCAGCTCTGAAACCCTCTTTTTCTAGAATCTGCAAGTGTACATTTGGAGGGCTTTGAGGCCTGTGGTGGTAAAGGAAAATCTTCACATAAAAACTAGATGGAAGCATTCTCAGAAACTACTTTGTGATGATTGCATTCGACTCAAAGAGTTGAACATTCCTATAGATAGAGCAGGTTGTAAACAATCTTTTTGTAGAATCTGCGATTGCAGATTTGGACTGCTTTGAGGCCTACTGTAGTAAAGGAAATAACTTCATCTAAAAACCAAACGGAAGCATTCACAGACAATTCTTAGTGATCATTGCATTGAACTAACAGAGCTGAACATTCCTTTAGATGGCGCAGTTTCCAAACACACTTTCTGTAGAATCTGCAAGTGGATATTTGGACTTCTCTGAGGATTTCGTTGGAAACGGGATAAACTTCCCAGAACTACACGGAAGCATTGTGAGAAACTTCTTTGTGATGTTTGCATTCAACTCACAGAGTTGAACCTTGCTTTCATAGTTCAGCTTTCAAACACTCTTTTTGTAGAATCTGCAAGTGGATATTTGGACCACTTTGTGGCCTTCCTTTGAAACGGGTATATCTTCACATCAAACCTAGACAGAAGCATTCTCAGAATGTTTCCTGTGATGACTGCATTCAACTCACAGAGGTGAACAATCCTGCTGATGGAGCAGTTTTGAAACTCTCTTTCTTTGGATTCTGCAAGTGGATATGTGGACCTCTGTGAAGATTTCGTTGGAAACGGGTTCATCTTCACAGAAAAACTAAACAGAAGCATTCTCAGAAACTGCTTTGTGATGTTTGTGTTCCACTTCAGGAATTGAACTTTCCTCTTGAAAGAGCAGCTCTGAAACCCTCTTTTTCTAGAATCTGCAAGTGGACATTTGGAGGGCTTTGAGGCCTGTGGTGGAAAAGGAAAATCTTCACATAAAAACTAGATGGAAGCATTCTCAGAAACTACTTTGTGATGATTGCATTCGACTCACAGAGTTGAACATTCCTATAGATAGAGCAGGTTGTAAACAATCTTTTTGTAGAATCTGCGATTGGAGATTTGGACTGCTTTGAGGCCTACTGTAGTAAAGGAAATAACTTCATCTAAAAACCAAACGGAAGCATTCACAGATAATTCTTAGTGATCATTGCATTGAACTAACAGAGCTGAACATTCCTTTAGATGGAGCAGTTTCCAAAGACACTTTCTGTAGAATCTGCAAGTGGATATTTGGACCTCTCTGAGGATTTCGTTGGAAACGGGATAAACTTCCCAGAACTACACGGAAGCATTGTGAGAAACTTCTTTGTGATGTTTGCATTCAACGCACAGAGTTGAACCTTGCTTTCATAGTTCAGCTTTCAAACACTGTTTTTGTAGAATCTGCAAGTGGATATTTGGACCACTTTGTGGCCTTCCTTCGAAAGGGGTATATCTTCACATCAAACCTAGACAGAAGCATTCTCAGAATGTTTCCTGTGATGACTGCATTCAACTCACAGAGGTGAACAACCCTGTTGATGGAGCAGTTTTGAAACTCTCTTTCTTTGGATTCTGCATGTGGATATGTGGACCTCTGTGAAGATTTCGTTGGAAAAGGGTTCATCTTCACAGAAAAACTAAACAGAAGCATTCTCAGAAACTGCTTTGTGATGTTTGTGTTCCACTTCAAGAATTGAACTTTCCTCTTGACAGAGCAGCTCTGAAACCCTCTTTTTCTAGAATCTGCAAGTGGACATTTGGAGGGCTTTGAGGCCTGTGGTGGAAAAGGAAAATCTTCACATAAAAACTAGATGGAAAGCATTCTCAGAAACTACTTTGTGATGATTGCATTCGACTCACAGAGTTGAACATTCCTATAGATAGAGCAGGTTGTAAACAATGTTTTTGTAGAATCTGCGATTGGAGATTTGGATTTCTTTGAGGCCTACTGTAGTAAAGGAAATAACTTCATCTAAAAACCAAACGGAAGCATTCACAGACAATTCTTAGTGATCATTGGATTGAACTAACAGAGCTGAACATTCCTTTAGATGGAGCAGTTGCCAAACCCACTTTCTGTAGAATCTGCAAGTGGATATTTGGACTTCTCTGAGGATTTCGTTGGAAACGGGATAAACTTCCCAGAACTACACGGAAGCATTTTGAGAAACTTCTTTGTGATGTTTGCATTCAACTCACAGAGTTGAACCTTGCTTTCATAGTTCAGCTTTCAAACACTCTTTTTGTAGAATCTGCAAGTGGATATTTGGACCACTTTGTGGCCTTCCTTCGAAACGGGTATATCTTCACATCAAACCTAGACAGAAGCATTCTCAGAATGTTTCCTGTGATGACTGCATTCAACTCACAGAGGTGAACAATCCTGCTGATGGAGCAGTTTTGAAACTCTCTTTCTTTGGATTCTGCAAGTGGATATGTGGACCTCTGTGAAGATTTCGTTGGAAACGGGTTCATCTTCACAGAAAAACTAAACAGGAGCATTCTCAGAAACTGCTTTGTGATGTTTGTGTTCCACTTCAAGAATTGAACTTTCCTCTTGACAGAGCAGCTCTGAAACCCTCTTTTTCTAGAATCTGCAAGTGGACATTTGGAGGGCTTTGAGGCCTGTGGTGGAAAAGGAAAATCTTCCCATAAAAACTAGATGGAAGCATTCTCAGAAACTCCTTTGTGATGATTGCGTTCGACTCACAGAGTTGAACTTTCCTACAGATAGAGCAGGTTGTAAACAATCTTTTTGTAGAATCTGCGATTGGAGATTTGGACTGCTTTGAGGCCTACTGTAGTAAAGGAAATAACTTCATCTAAAAACCAAACGGAAGCATTCACAGACAATTCTTAGTGATCATTGGATTGAACTAACAGAGCTGAACATTCCTTTAGATGGAGCAGTTTCCAAACCCACTCTCTGTAGAATCTGCAAGTGGATATTTGGACCTCTGTGAGGATTTCGTTGGAAAAGGGATATACTTCCCAGAACTACACGGAAGTATTCTGAGAAACTTCTTTGTGATGTTTGCATTCAACTCACAGAGTTGAACCTTGCTTTCATAGTTCAGCTTTCAAACACTCTTTTTGTAGAATCTGCAAGTGGATATTTGGACCACTTTGTGGCCTTCCTTCGAAACGGGTATATCTTCACATCAAACCTAGACAGAAGCATTCTCAGAATGTTTCCTGTGATGACTGCATTCAACTCACAGAGGTGAACAATCCTGCTGATGGAGCAGTTTTGAAACTCTCTTTCTTTGGATTCTGCAAGTGGATATGTGGACCTCTGTGAAGATTTCGTTGGAAACGGGTTCATCTTCACAGAAAAACTAAACAGAAGCATTCTCAGAAACTGCTTTGTGATGTTTGTGTTCCACTTCAGGAATTGTATTTTCCTCTTGACAGAGCAGCTCTGAAACCCTCTTATTCTAGAATCTGCAAGTGGACATTTGGAGGGCTTTGAGGCCTGTGGTGGAAAAGGAAAATCTTCACATAAAAACTAGATGGAAGCATTCTCAGAAACTACTTTGTGATGATTGCATTCGACTCACAGAGTTGAACATTCCTATAGATAGAGCAGGTTGTAAACAATCTTTTTGTAGAATCTGCGATTGGAGATTTGGACTGCTTTGAGGCCTACTGTAGTAAAGGAAATAACTTCATCTAAAAACCAAACGGAAGCATTCACAGACAATTCTTAGTGATCATTGGATTGAACTAACAGAGCTGAACATTCCTTTAGATGGAGCAGTTTCCAAACACACTTTCTGTAGAATCTGCAAGTGGATATTTGGACCTCTCTGAGGATTTCGTTGGAAACGGGATAAACTTCCCAGAACTACACGGAAGCATTGTGAGAAACTTCTTTGTGATGTTTGCATTCAACTCACAGAGTTGAACCTTGCTTTCATAGTTCAGCTTTCAAACACTCTTTTTGTAGAATCTGCAAGTGGATATTTGGACCACTTTGTGGCCTTCCTTCGAAACGGGTATATCTTCACATCAAACCTAGACAGAAGCATTCTCAGAATGTTTCCTGTGATGACTGCATTCAACTCACAGAGGTGAACAATCCTGCTGATGGAGCAGTTTTGAAACTCTCTTTCTTTGGATTCTGCAAGTGGATATGTGGACCTCTGTGAAGATTTCGTTGGAAACGGGTTCATCTTCACAGAAAAACTAAACAGGAGCATTCTCAGAAACTGCTTTGTGATGTTTGTGTTCCACTTCAAGAATTGAACTTTCCTCTTGACAGAGCAGCTCTGAAACCCTCTTTTTCTAGAATCTGCAAGTGGACATTTGGAGGGCTTTGAGGCCTGTGGTGGAAAAGGAAAATCTTCACATAAAAACTAGATGGAAGCATTCTCAGAAACTACTCTGTGATGATTGCATTCGACTCACAGAGTTGAACATTCCTATAGATAGAGCAGGTTGTAAACAATCTTTTTGTAGAATCTGCGATTGGAGATTTGGACTGCTTTGAGGCCTACTGTAGTAAAGGAAATAACTTCATCTAAAAACCAAACGGAAGCATTCACAGACAATTCTTAGTGATCATTGCATTGAACTAACAGAGCTGAACATTCCTTTAGATGGAGCAGTTTCCAAACACACTTTCTGTAGAATCTGCAAGTGGATATTTGGACCTCTCTGAGGATTTCGTTGGAAACGGGATAAACTTCCCAGAACTACAGGGAAGCATTGTGAGAAACTTCTTTGTGATGTTTGCGTTCAACTCACAGAGTTGAACCTTGCTTTCATAGTTCAGCTTTCAAACACTCTTTTTGTAGAATCTGCAAGTGGATATTTGGACCACTTTGTGGCCTTCCTTCGAAACGGGTATATCTTCACATCAAACCTAGACAGAAAGCATTCTCAGAATGTTTCCTGTGATGACTGCATTCAACTCACAGAGGTGAACAATCCTGCTGATGGAGCAGTTTTGAAACTCTCTTTCTTTGGATTCTGCAAGTGGATATGTGGACCTCTGTGAAGATTTCGTTGGAAACGGGTTCATCTTCACAGAAAAACTAAACAGGAGCATTCTCAGAAACTGCATTGTGATGTTTGTGTTCCACTTCAAGAATTGAAGTTTCCTCTTGACAGAGCAGCTCTGAAACCCTCTTTTTCTAGAATCTGCAAGTGGACATTTGGAGGGCTTTGAGGCCTGTGGTGGAAAAGGAAAATCTTCACATAAAAACTTTATGGAAGCATTCTCAGAAACTACTTTGTGATGATTGCATTCGACTCACAGAGTTGAACATTCCTTTAGATAGAGCAGGTTGTAAACAATCTTTTTGTAGAATCTGCGATTGGAGATTTGGACTGCTTTGAGGCCTACTGTAGTAAAGGAAATAACTTCATCTAAAAACCAAACGGAAGCATTCACAGACAATTCTTAGTGATCATTGGATTGAACTAACAGAGCTGAACATTCCTTTAGATGGAGCAGTTTCCAAACACACTTTCTGTAGAATCTGCAAGTGGATATTTGGACTTCTCTGAGGATTTCGTTGGAAACGGGATAAACTTCCCAGAACTACACGGAAGCATTGTGAGAAACTTCTTTGTGATGTTTGCATTCAACTCACAGAGTTGAACCTTGCTTTCATAGTTCAGCTTTCAAACACTCTTTTTGTAGAATCTGCAAGTGGATATTTGGACCACTTTGTGGCCTTCCTTCGAAACGGGTATATCTTCACATCAAACCTAGACAGAAGCATTCTCAGAATGTTTCCTGTGATGACTGCATTCAACTCACAGAGGTGAACAATCCTGTTGATGGAGCAGTTTTGAAACTCTCTTTCTTTGGATTCTGCAAGTTGATATGTGGACCTCTGTGAAGATTTCGTTGGAAACGGGTTCATCTTCACAGAAAAACTAAACAGAAGCATTCTCAGAAACTGCTTTGTGATGTTTGTGTTCCACTTCAAGAATTGAACTTTCCTCTTGACAGAGCAGCTCTGAAACCCTCTTTTTCTAGAATCTGCAAGTGGACATTTGGAGGGCTTTGAGGCCTGTGGTGGAAAAGGAAAATCTTCACATAAAAACTAGATGGAAGCATTCTCAGAAACTACTTTGTGATGATTGCATTCGACTCACAGAGTTGAACATTCCTATAGATAGAGCAGGTTGTAAACAATCTTTTTGTAGAATCTGCGATTGGAGATTTGGACTGCTTTGAGGCCTACTGTAGTAAAGGAAATAACTTCATCTAAAAACCAAACGGAAGCATTCACAGACAATTCTTAGTGATCATTGGATTGAACTAACAGAGCTGAACATTCCTTTAGATGGAGCATTTTCCAAACACACTTTCTGTAGAATCTGCAAGTGGATATTTGGACCTCTCTGAGGATTTCGTTGGAAACGGGGTAAACTTCCCAGAAATACACGGAAGCATTCTGAGAATCTTCTTTGTGATGTTTGCATTCAACTCACAGAGTTGAACCTTGCTTTCATAGTTCAGCTTTGAAACACTCTTTTTGTAGAATCTGCAAGTGGATATTTGGACCACTTTGTGGCCTTCCTTCGAAACGGGTATATCTTCACATCAAACCTAGACAGAAGCATTCTCAGAATGTTTCCTGTGATGACCGCATTGGACTCACAGATGTGAACAATCCTGTTGATGGAGCAGTTTTGAAACTCTCTTTCTTTGGATTCTGCAAGTGGATATGTGGACCTCTTTGAAGATTTCGTTGGAAACGGGTTCATCTTCACAGAAAAACTAAACAGAAGCATTCTCAGAAACTGCTTTGCGATGTTTGTGTTCCACTTCAAGAATTGAACTTTCCTCTTGACAGAGCAGCTCTGAAACCCTCTTTTTCTAGAATCTGCAAGTGGACATTTGGAGGGCTTTGAGGCCTGTGGTGGAAAAGGAAAATCTTCACATAAAAACTAGATGGAAGCATTCTCAGAAACTACTTTGTGATGATTGCATTCGACTCACAGAGTTGAACATTCCTATAGATAGAGCAGGTTGTAAACAATCTTTTTGTAGAATCTGCGATTGGAGATTTGGACTGCTTTGAGGCCTACTGTAGTAAAGGAAATAACTTCATCTAAAAACCAAACGGAAGCATTCACAGACAATTCTTAGTGATCATTGCATTGAAATAACAGAGCTGAACATTCCTTTAGATGGCGCAGTTTCCAAACACACTTTCTGTAGAATCTGCAAGTGGATATTTGGACCTCTCTGAGGATTTCGTTGGAAACGGGATAAACTTCCCAGAACTACACGGAAGCATTGTGAGAAACTTCTTTGTGATATTTGCATTCAACTCACAGAGTTGAACCTTGCTTTCATAGTTCAGCTTTCAAACACTCTTTTTGTAGAATCTGCAAGTGGATATTTGGACCACTTTGTGGCCTTCCTTCGAAACGGGTATATCTTCACATCAAACCTAGACAGAAGCATTCTCAGAATGTTTCCTGTGATGACTGCATTCAACTCACAGAGGTGAACAATCCTGCTGATGGAGCACTTTTGAAACTCTCTTTCTTTGGATTCTGCAAGTGGATATGTGGACCTCTGTGAAGATTTCGTTGGAAACGGGTTCATCTTCACAGAAAAACTAAACAGGAGCATTCTCAGAAACTGCTTTGTGATGTTTGTGTTCCACTTAAAGAATTGAACTTTCCTCTTGACAGAGCAGCTCTGAAACCCTCTTTTTCTAGAATCTGCAAGTGGACATTTGGAGGGCTTTGAGGCCTGTGGTGGAAAAGGAAAATCTTCACATAAAAACTTTATGGAAGCATTCTCAGAAACTTCTTTGTGATGATTGCATTCGACTCACAGAGTTGAACATTCCTATAGATAGAGCAGGTTGTAAACAATCTTTTTGTAGAATCTGCGATTGGAGATTTGGACTGCTTTGAGGCCTACTGTAGTAAAGGAAATTACTTCATCTAAAAACCAAACGGAAGCATTCACAGACAATTCTTAGTGATCATTGGATTGAACTAACAGAGCTGAACATTCCTTTAGATGGAGCAGTTTCCAAACCCACTTTCTGTAGAATCTGCAAGTGGATATTTGGACTTCTCTGAGGATTTCGTTGGAAACGGGATAAACTTCCCAGAACTACACGGAAGCATTGTGAGAAACTTCTTTGTGATGTTTGCATTCAACTCACAGAGTTGAACCTTGTTTTCATAGTTCAGCTTTCAAGCACTCTTTTTGTAGAATCTGCAAGTGGATATTTGGACCACTTTGTGGCCTTCCTTCGAAACGGGTATATCTTCACATCAAACCTAGACAGAAGCATTCTCAGAATGTTTCCTGTGATGACTGCATTCAACTCACAGAGGTGAACAATCCTGTTGATGGAGCACTTTTGAAACTCTCTTTCTTTGGATTCTGCAAGTTGATATGTGGACCTCTGTGAAGATTTCGTTGGAAACGGGTTCATCTTCACAGAAAAACTAAACAGAAGCATTCTCAGAAACTGCTTTGTGATGTTTGTGTTCCACTTCAGGAATTGAACTTTCCTCTTGACAGAGCAGCTCTGAAACCCTCTTATTCTAGAATCTGCAAGTGGACATTTGGAGGGCTTTGAGGCCTGTGGTGGAAAAGGAAAATCTTCACATAAAAACTAGATGGAAGCATTCTCAGGAACTACTTTGTGATGATTGCATTCGACTCACAGAGTTGAACATTCCTATAGATAGAGCAGGTTGTAAACAATCTTTTTGTAGAATCTGCGATTGGAGATTTGGACTGCTTTGAGGCCTACTGTAGTAAAGGAAATAACTTCATCTAAAAACCAAACGGAAGCATTCACAGACAATTCTTAGTGATCATTGCATTGAACTAACAGAGCTGAACATTCCTTTAGATGGAGCAGTTTCCAAACACACTTTCTGTAGAATCTGCAAGTGGATATTTGGACTTCTCTGAGGATTTCGTTGGAAACGGGATAAACTTCCCAGAACTACACGGAAGCATGCTGAGAAACTTCTTTGTGATGTTTGCATTCAACTCACAGAGTTGAACCTTGCTTTCATAGTTCAGCTTTCAAACACTCTTTTTGTAGAATCTGCAAGTGGATATTTGGACCACTTTGTGGCCTTCCTTCGAAACGGGTATATCTTCACACCAAACCTAGACAGAAGCATTCTCAGAATGTTTCCTGTGATGACTGCATTCAACTCACAGAGGTGAACAATCCTGTTGATGGAGCACTTTTGAAACTCTCTTTCTTTGGATTCTGCAAGTTGATATGTGGACCTCTGTGAAGATTTCGTTGGAAACGGGTTCATCTTCACAGAAAAACTAAACAGAAGCATTCTCAGAAACTGCTTTGTGATGTTTGTGTTCCACTTCAAGAATTGAACTTTCCTCTTGACAGAGCAGCTCTGAAACCCTCTTTTTCTAGAATCTGCAAGTGGACATTTGGAGGGCTTTGAGGCCTGTGGTGGAAAAGGAAAATCTTCACATAAAAACTAGATGGAAGCATTCTCAGAAACTACTTTGTGATGATTGCATTCGACTCACAGAGTTGAACATTCCTATAGATAGAGCAGGTTGTAAACAATCTTTTTGTAGAATCTGCGATTGGAGATTTGGACTGCTTTGAGGCCTACTGTAGTAAAGGAAATAACTTCATCTAAAAACCAAACGGAAGCATTCACAGACAATTCTTAGTGATCATTGGATTGAACTAACAGAGCTGAACATTCCTTTAGATGGAGCAGTTTCCAAACACACTTTCTGTAGAATCTGCAAGTGGATATTTGGACCTCTCTGAGGATTTCGTTGGAAACGGGATAAACTTCCCAGAACTACACGGAAGCATTGTGAGAAACTTCTTTGTGATGTTTGCATTCAACTCACAGAGTTGAACCTTGCTTTCATAGTTCAGCTTTCAAACACTCTTTTTGTAGAATCTGCAAGTGGATATTTGGACCACTTTGTGGCCTTCCTTCGAAACGGGTATATCTTCACATTAAACCTAGACAGAAGCATTCTCAGAATGTTTCCTGTGATGACTGCATTCAACTCACAGAGGTGAACAATCCTGCTGATGGAGCAGTTTTGAAACTCTCTTTCTTTGGATTCTGCAAGTGGATATGTGGACCTCTGTGAAGATTTCGTTGGAAACGGGTTCATCTTCACAGAAAAACTAAACAGGAGCATTCTCAGAAACTGCTTTGTGATGTTTGTGTTCCACTTAAAGAATTGAACTTTCCTCTTGACAGAGCAGCTCTGAAACCCTCTTTTTCTAGAATCTGCAAGTGGACATTTGGAGGGCTTTGAGGCCTGTGGTGGAAAAGGAAAATCTTCACATAAAAACTTTATGGAAGCATTCTCAGAAACTACTTTGTGATGATTGCATTCGACTCACAGAGTTGAACATTCCTATAGATAGAGCAGGTTGTAAACAATCTTTTTGTAGAATCTGCGATTGGAGATTTGGACTGCTTTGAGGCCTACTGTAGTAAAGGAAATAACTTCATCTAAAAACCAAACGGAAGCATTCACAGACAATTCTTAGTGATCATTGCATTGAACTAACAGAGCTGAACATTCCTTTAGATGGAGCAGTTTCCAAACCCACTTTCTGTAGAATCTGCAAGTGGATATTTGGACTTCTCAGAGGATTTCGTTGGAAACGGGATAAACTTCCCAGAACTACAGGGAAGCATTGTGAGAAACTTCTTTGTGATGTTTGCATTCAACTCACAGAGTTGAACCTTGCTTTCATAGTTCAGCTTTCAAACACTCTTTTTGTAGAATCTGCAAGTGGATATTTGGACCACTTTGTGGCCTTCCTTCGAAACGGGTACATCTTCACATCAAACCTAGACAGAAGCATTCTCAGAATGTTTCCTGTGATGACTGCATTCAACTCACAGAGGTGAACAATCCTGCTGATGGAGCAGTTTTGAAACTCTCTTTCTTTGGATTCTGCAAGTGGATATGTGGACCTCTGTGTAGATTTCGTTGGAAACGGGTTCATCTTCACAGAAAAACTAAACAGGAGCATTCTCAGAAACTGCTTTGTGATGTTTGTGTTCCACTTCAAGAATTGAACTTTCCTCTTGACAGAGCAGCTCTGAAACCCTCTTTTTCTAGAATCTGCAAGTGGACATTTGGAGGGCTTTGAGGCCTGTGGTGGAAAAGGAAAATCTTCACATAAAAACTAGATGGAAGCATTCTCAGAAACTACTTTGTGATGATTGCATTCGACTCACAGAGTTGAACATTCCTATAGATAGAGCAGGTTGTAAACAATCTTTTTGTAGAATCTGCGATTGGAGATTTGGACTGCTTTGAGGCCTACTGTAGTAAAGGAAATAACTTCATCTAAAAACCAAACGGAAGCATTCACAGACAATTCTTAGTGATCATTGCATTGAACTAACAGAGCTGAACATTCCTTTAGATGGAGCAGTTTCCAAACACACTTTCTGTAGAATCTGCAAGTGGATATTTGGACGTCTCTGAGGATTTCGTTGGAAACGGGATAAACTTCCCAGAACTACACGGAAGCATTGTGAGAAACTTCTTTGTGATGTTTGCATTCAACTCACAGAGTTGAACCTTGCTTTCATAGTTCAGCTTTCAAACACTCTTTTTGTAGAATCTGCAAGTGGATATTTGGACCACTTTGTGGCCTTCCTTCGAAACGGGTATATCTTCACATCAAACCTAGACAGAAGCATTCTCAGAATGTTTCCTGTGATGACTGCATTCAACTCACAGAGGTGAACAATCCTGCTGATGGAGCAGTTTTGAAACTCTCTTTCTTTGGATTCTGCAAGTGGATATGTGGACCTCTGTGAAGATTTCGTTGGAAACGGGTTCATCTTCACAGAAAAACTAAACAGAAGCATTCTCAGAAACTGCTTTGTGATGTTTGTGTTCCACTTCAAGAATTGAACTTTCCTCTTGACAGAGCAGCTCTGAAACCCTCTTTTTCTAGAATCTGCAAGTGGACATTTGGAGGGCTTTGAGGCCTGTGGTGGAAAAGGAAAATCTTCACATAAAAACTAGATGGAAGCATTCTCAGAAACTCCTTTGTGATGATTGCATTCGACTCACAGAGTTGAACATTCCTATAGATAGAGCAGGTTGTAAACAATCTTTTTGTAGAATCTGCGATTAGAGATTTGGACTGCTTTGAGGCCTACTGTAGTAAAGGAAATAACTTCATCTAAAAACCAAACGGAAGCATTCACAGACAATTCTTAGTGATCATTGCATTGAACTAACAGAGCTGAACATTCCTTTAGATGGCGCAGTTTCCAAACACACTTTCTGTAGAATCTGCAAGTGGATATTTGGACCTGTCTGAGGATTTCGTTGGAAACGGGATGTACTTCCCAGAACTACACGGAAGCATTGTGAGAAACTTCTTTGTGATGTTTGCATTCAACTCACAGAGTTGAACCTTGCTTTCATAGTTCAGCTTTCAAACACTCTTTTTGTAGAATCTGCAAGTGGATATTTGGACCACTTTGTGGCCTTCCTTTGAAAAGGGTATATCTTCACATCAAACCTAGACAGAAGCATTCTCAGAATGTTTCCTGTGATGACTGCATTCAACTCACAGAGGTGAACAATCCTGCTGATGGAGCAGTTTTGAAACTCTCTTTCTTTGGATTCTGCAAGTGGATATGTGGACCTCTGTGAAGATTTCGTTGGAAACGGGTTCATCTTCACAGAAAAACTAAACAGAAGCATTCTCAGAAACTGCTTTGTGATGTTTGTGTTCCACTTCAGGAATTGAACTTTCCTCTTGACAGAGCAGCTCTAAAACCCTCTTATTCTAGAATCTGCAAGTGGACATTTGGAGGGCTTTGAGGCCTGTGGTGGAAAAGGAAAATCTTCACATAAAAACTAGATGGAAGCATTCTCAGAAACTACTTTGTGATGATTGCATTCGACTCACAGAGTTGAACATTCCTATAGATAGAGCAGGTTGTAAACAATCTTTTTGTAGAATCTGCGATTGGAGATTTGGACTGCTTTGAGGCCTACTGTAGTAAAGGAAATAACTTCATCTAAAAACCAAACGGAAGCATTCACAGACAATTCTTAGTGATCATTGCATTGAACTAACAGAGCTGAACATTCCTTTAGATGGCGCAGTTTCCAAACACACTTTCTGTAGAATCTGCAAGTGGATATTTGGACTTCTCTGAGGATTTCGTTGGAAACGGGATAAACTTCCCAGAACTACACGGAAGCATTGTGAGAAACTTCTTTGTGATGTTTGCATTCAACTCACAGAGTTGAACCTTGCTTTCATAGTTCAGCTTTCAAACACTCTTTTTGTAGAATCTGCAAGTGGATATTTGGACCACTTTGTGGCCTTCCTTCGAAACGGGTATATCTTCACATCAAACCTAGACAGAAGCATTCTCAGAATGTTTCCTGTGATGACTGCATTCAACTCACAGAGGTGAACAATCCTGCTGATGGAGCAGTTTTGAAACTCTCTTTCTTTGGATTCTGCAAGTGGATATGTGGACCTCTGTGAAGATTTCGTTGGAAACGGGTTCATCTTCACAGAAAAACTAAACAGGAGCATTCTCAGAAACTGCTTTGTGATGTTTGTGTTCCACTTCAAGAATTGAACTTTCCTCTTGACAGAGCAGCTCTGAAACCCTCTTTTTCTAGAATCTGCAAGTGGACATTTGGAGGGCTTTGAGGCCTGTGGTGCAAAAGGAAAATCTTCACATAAAAACTAGATGGAAGCATTCTCAGAAACTACTTTGTGATGATTGCATTCGACTCACAGAGTTGAACATTCCTATAGATAGAGCAGGTTGTAAACAATCTTTTTGTAGAATCTGCGATTGGAGATTTGGACTGCTTTGAGGCCTACTGTAGTAAAGGAAATAACTTCATCTAAAAACCAAACGGAAGCATTCACAGACAATTCTTAGTGATCATTGCATTGAACTAACAGAGCTGAACATTCCTTTAGATGGAGCAGTTTCCAAACACACTTTCTGTAGAATGTGCAAGTGGATATTTGGACTTCTCTGAGGATTTCGTTGGAAACGGGATAAACTTCCCAGAACTACACGGAAGCATGCTGAGAAACTTCTTTGTGATGTTTGCATTCAACTCACAGAGTTGAACCTTGCTTTCATAGTTCAGCTTTCAAACACTCTTTTTGTAGAATCTGCAAGTGGATATTTGGACCACTTTGTGGCCTTCCTTCGAAACGGGTATATCTTCACATCAAACCTAGACAGAAGCATTCTCAGCAATGTTTCCTGTGATGACTGCATTCAACTCACAGAGGTGAACAATCCTGTTGATGGAGCAGTTTTGAAACTCTCTTTCTTTGGATTCTGCAAGTGGATATGTGGACCTCTGTGAAGATTTCGTTGGAAACGGGTTCATCTTCACAGAAAAACTAAACAGAAGCATTCTCAGAAACTGCTTTGTGATGTTTGTGTTCCACTTCAGGAATTGAACTTTCCTCTTGACAGAGCAGCTCTGAAGCCCTCTTATTCTAGAATCTGCAAGTGGACATTTGGAGGGCTTTGAGGCCTGTGGTGGAAAAGGAAAATCTTCACATAAAAACTAGATGGAAGCATTCTCAGAAACTACTTTGTGATGATTGCATTCGACTCACAGAGTTGAACATTCCTATAGATAGAGCAGGTTGTAAACAATCTTTTTGTAGAATCTGCGATTGGAGATTTGGACTGCTTTGAGGCCTACTGTAGTAAAGGAAATAACTTCATCTAAAAACCAAACGGAAGCATTCACAGACAATTCTTAGTGATCATTGCATTGAACTAACAGAGCTGAACATTCCTTTAGATGGCGCAGTTTCCAAACACACTTTCTGTAGAATCTGCAAGTGGATATTTGGACCTCTCTGAGGATTTCGTTGGAAACGGGATAAACTTCCCAGAAATACACGGAAGCATTCTGAGAAACTTCTTTGTGATGTTTGCATTCAACTCACAGAGTTGAACCTTGCTTTCATAGTTCAGCTTTCAAACACTCTTTTTGTAGAATCTGCAAGTGGATATTTGGACCACTTTGTGGCCTTCCTTCGAAACGGGTATATCTTCACATCAAACCTAGACAGAAGCATTCTCAGAGTGTTTCCTGTGATGACTGCATTCAACTCACAGAGGTGAACAATCCTGCTGATGGAGCAGTTTTGAAACTGTCTTTCTTTGGATTCTGCAAGTGGATATGTGGACCTCTGTGAAGATTTCGTTGGAAACGGGTTCATCTTCACAGAAAAACTAAACAGGAGCATTCTCAGAAACTGCTTTGTGATGTTTGTGTTCCACTTCAAGAATTGAACTTTCCTCTTGACAGAGCAGCTCTGAAACCCTCTTATTCTAGAATCTGCAAGTGGACATTTGGAGGGCTTTGAGGCCTGTGGTGGAAAAGGAAAATCTTCACATAAAAACTAGATGGAAGCATTCTCAGAAACTACTTTGTGATGATTGCATTCGACTCACAGAGTTGAACATTCCTATACATAGAGCAGGTTGTAAACAATCTTTTTGTAGAATCTGCGATTGGAGATTTGGACTGCTTTGAGGCCTACTGTAGTAAAGGAAATAACTTCATCTAAAAACCAAACGGAAGCATTCACAGACAATCCTTAGTGATCATTGCATTGAACTAACAGAGCTGAACATTCCTTTAGATGGCGCAGTTTCCAAACACACTTTCTGTAGAATCTGCAAGTGGATATTTGGACCTCTCTGAGGATTTCGTTGGAAACGGGATAAACTTCCCAGAACTACACGGAAGCATTCTGAGAAACTTCTTTGTGATGTTTGCATTCAACTCACAGAGTTGAACCTTGCTTTCATAGTTCAGCTTTCAAACACTCTTTTTGTAGAATCTGCAAGTGGATATTTGGACCACTTTGTGGCCTTCCTTCGAAACGGGTATATCTTCACATCAAACCTAGACAGAAGCATTCTCAGAATGTTTCCTGTGATGACTGCATTCAACTCACAGAGGTGAACAATCCTGCTGATGGAGCAGTTTTGAAACTCTCTTTCTTTGGATTCTGCAAGTGGATATGTGGACCTCTGTGAAGATTTCGTTGGAAACGGGTTCATCTTCACAGAAAAACTAAACAGAAACATTCTCAGAAACTGCTTTGTGATGTTTGTGTTCCACTTCAAGAATTGAACTTTCCTCTTGACAGAGCAGCTCTGAAACCCTCTTTTTCTAGAATCTGCAAGTGGACATTTGGAGGGCTTTGAGGCCTGTGGTGGAAAAGGAAAATCTTCACATAAAAACTAGATGGAAGCATTCTCAGAAACTACTTTGTGATGATTGCATTCGACTCACAGAGTTGAACATTCCTATAGATAGAGCAGGTTGTAAACAATCTTTTTGTAGAATCTGCGATTGGAGATTTGGACTGCTTTGAGGCCTACTGTAGTAAAGGAAATAACTTCATCTAAAAACCAAACGGAAGCATTCACAGATAATTCTTAGTGATCATTGGATTGAACTAACAGAGCTGAACATTCCTTTAGATGGAGCAGTTACCAAACACACTTTCTGTAGAATCTGCAAGTGGATATTTGGACTTCTCTGAGGATTTCGTTGGAAACGGGATAAACTTCCCAGAACTTCACGGAAGCATTCTGAGAAACTTCTTTGTGATGTTTGCATACAACTCAAAGAGTTGAACCTTGCTTTCATAGTTCAGCTTTCAAACACTCTTTTTGTAGAATCTGCAAGTGGATATTTGGACCAATTTGTGGCCTTCCTTCGAAACGGGTATATCTTCACATCAAACCTAGACAGAAGCATTCTCAGAATGTTTCCTGTGATGACTGGATTCAACTCACAGAGGTGAACAATCCTGTTGATGGAGCAGTTTTGAAACTCTCTTTCTTTGGATTCTGCAAGTTGATATGGGGACCTCTGTGAAGATTTCGTTGGAAACGGGTTCATCTTCACAGAAAAACTAAACAGGAGCATTCTCAGAAACTGCTTTGTGATGTTTGTGTTCCACTTCAAGAATTGAACTTTCCTCTTGACAGAGCAGCTCTGAAACCCTCTTTTTCTAGAATCTGCAAGTGGACATTTGGAGGGCTTTGAGGCCTGTGGTGGAAAAGGAAAATCTTCACATGAAAACCAGATGGAAGCATTCTCAGAAACTACTTTGTGATGATTGCATTCGACTCACAGAGTTGAACATTCCTATAGATAGAGCAGGTTGTAAACAATCTTTTTGTAGAATCTGCGATTGGAGATTTGGACTGCTTTGAGGCCTACTGTAGTAAAGGAAATAACTTCATCTAAAAACCAAACGGAAGCATTCACAGACAATTCTTAGTGATCATTGCATTGAACTAACAGAGCTGAACATTCCTTTAGATGGCGCAGTTTCCAAACACACTTTCTGTAGAATCTGCAAGTGGATATTTGGACCTCTCTGAGGATTTCGTTGGAAAAGGGATAAACTTCCCAGAACTACACGGAAGCATGCTGAGAAACTTCTTTGTGATGTTTGCATTCAACTCACAGAGTTGAACCTTGCTTTCATAGTTCAGCTTTCAAACACTCTTTTTGTAGAATCTGCAAGTGGATATTTGGACCACTTTGTGGCCTTCCTTCGAAACGGGTATATCTTCACATCAAACCTAGACAGAAGCATTCTCAGAATGTTTCCTGTGATGACTGCATTCAACTCACAGAGGTGAACAATCCTGCTGATGGAGCAGTTTTGAAACTCTCTTTCTTTGGATTCTGCAAGTGGATATGTGGACCTCTGTGAAGATTTCGTTGGAAACGGGTTCATCTTCACAGAAAAACTAAACAGAAGCATTCTCAGAAACTGCTTTGTGATGTTTGTGTTCCACTTCAGGAATTGAACTTTCCTCTTGACAGAGCAGCTCTGAAACCCTCTTATTCTAGAATCTGCAAGTGGACATTTGGAGGGCTTTGAGGCCTGTGGTGGAAAAGGAAAATCTTCACATAAAAACTAGATGGAAGCATTCTCAGAAACTACTTTGTGATGATTGCATTCGACTCACAGAGTTGAACATTCCTATAGATAGAGCAGGTTGTAAACAATCTTTTTGTAGAATCTGCGATTGGAGATTTGGACTGCTTTGAGGCCTACTGTAGTAAAGGAAATAACTTCATCTAAAAACCAAACGGAAGCATTCACAGACAATTCTTAGTGATCATTGGATTGAACTAACAGAGCTGAAAACTCCTTTAGATGGCGCTGTTTCCAAACACACTTTCTGTAGAATCTGCAAGTGGATATTTGGACTTCTCTGAGGATTTCGTTGGAAACGGGATAAACTTCCCAGAACTACACGGAAGCATTGTGAGAAACTTCTTTGTGATGTTTGCATTCAACTCACAGAGTTGAACCTTGCTTTCATAGTTCAGCTTTCAAACACTCTTTTTGTAGAATCTGCAAGTGGATATTTGGACCACTTTGTGGCCTTCCTTCGAAACGGGTATATCTTCACATCAAACCTAGACAGAAGCATTCTCAGAATGTTTCCTGTGATGACTGCATTCAACTCACAGAGGTGAACAATCCTGCTGATGGAGCAGTTTTGAAACTCTCTTTCTTTGGATTCTGCAAGTGGATATGTGGACCTCTGTGAAGATTTCGTTGGAAACGGGTTCATCTTCACAGAAAAACTAAACAGAAGCATTCTCAGAAACTGCTTTGTTATGTTTGTGTTCCACTTCAAGAATTGAACTTTCCTCTTGACAGAGCAGCTCTGAAACCCTCTTATTCTAGAATCTGCAAGTGGACATTTGGAGGGCTTTGAGGCCTGTGGTGGAAAAGGAAAATCTTCACATAAAAACTAGATGGAAGCATTCTCAGAAACTACTTTGTGATGATTGCATTCGACTCACAGAGTTGAACATTCCTATAGATAGAGCAGGTTGTAAACAATCTTTTTGTAGAATCTGCGATTGGAAATTTGGACTGCTTTGAGGCCTACTGTAGTAAAGGAAATAACTTCATCTAAAAACCAAACGGAAGCATTCACAGACAATTCTTAGTGATCATTGCATTGAACTAACAGAGCTGAACATTCCTTTAGATGGCGCAGTTTCCAAACACACTTTCTGTAGAATCTGCAAGTGGATATTTGGACCTCTCTGAGGATTTCGTTGGAAACGGGATAAACTTCCCAGAACTACACGGAAGCATTCTGAGAAACTTCTTTGTGATGTTTGCATTCAACTCACAGAGTTGAACCTTGCTTTCATAGTTCAGCTTTCAAACACTATTTTTGTAGAATCTGCAAGTGGATATTTGGACCACTTTGTGGCCTTCCTTCGAAACGGGTATATCTTCACATCAAACACAGACAGAAGCATTCTCAGAATGTTTCCTGTGATGACTGCATTCAACTCACAGAGGTGAACAATCCTGTTGATGGAGCACTTTTGAAACTCTCTTTCTTTGGATTCTGCAAGTTGATATGTGGACCTCTGTGAAGATTTCGTTGGAAACGGGTTCATCTTCACAGAAAAACTAAACAGAAGCATTCTCAGAAACTACTTTGTGATGTTTGTGTTCCACTTCAAGAATTGAACTTTCCTCTTGACAGAGCAGCTCTGAAACCCTCTTTTTCTAGAATCTGCAAGTGGACATTTGGAGGGCTTTGAGGCCTGTGGTGGAAAAGGAAAATCTTCACATAAAAACTAGATGGAAGCATTCTCAGAAACTACTTTGTGATGATTGCATTCGACTCACAGAGTTGAACATTCCTATAGATAGAGCAGGTTGTAAACAATCTTTTTGTAGAATCTGCGATTGGAGATTTGGACTGCTTTGAGGCCTACTGTAGTAAAGGAAATAACTTCATCTAAAAACCAAACGGAAGCATTCACAGACAATTCTTAGTGATCATTGGATTGAACTAACAGAGCTGAACATTCCTTTAGATGGAGCAGTGTCCAAACACACTTTCTGTAGAATCTGCAAGTGGATATTTGGACCTCTCTGAGGAGTTCGTTGGAAACGGGATAAACTTCCCAGAACTACACGGATGCATTGTGAGAAACTTCTTTGTGATGTTTGCATTCAACTCACAGAGTTGAACCTTGCTTTCATAGTTCAGCTTTCAAACACTCTTTTTGTAGAATCTGCAAGTGGATATTTGGACCACTTTGTGGCCTTCCTTCGAAACGGGTATATCTTCACATCAAACCTAGATAGAAGCATTCTCAGAATGTTTCCTGTGATGACTGCATTCAAATCACAGAGGTGAACAATCCTGCTGATGGAGCAGTTTTGAAACTCTCTTTCTTTGGATTCTACAAGTGGATATGTGGACCTCTGTGAAGATTTCGTTGGAAACGGGTTCATCTTCACAGAAAAACTAAACAGGAGCATTCTCAGAAACTGCTTTGTGATGTTTGTGTTCCACTTCAAGAATTGAACTTTCCTCTTGACAGAGCAGCTCTGAAACCCTCTTTTTCTAGAATCTGCAAGTGGACATTTGGAGGGCTTTGAGGCCTGTGGTGGAAAAGGAAAATCTTCACATAAAAACTAGATGGAAGCATTCTCAGAAACTACTTTGTGATGATTGCATTCGACTCACAGAGTTGAACATTCCTATAGATAGAGCAGGTTGTAAACAATCTTTTTGTAGAATCTGCGATTGGAAATTTGGACTGCTTTGAGGCCTACTGTAGTAAAGGAAATAACTTCATCTAAAAACTAAACGGAAGCATTCACAGACAATTCTTAGTGATCATTGGATTGAACTAACAGAGCTGAACATTCCTTTAGATGGCGCAGTTTCCAAACACACTTTCTGTAGAATCTGCAAGTGGATATTTGGACCTCTCTGAGGATTTCGTTGGAAACGGGATAAACTTCCCAGAACTACACGGAAGCATTGTGAGAAACTTCTTTGTGATGTTTGCATTCAACTCACAGAGTTGAACCTTGCTTTCATAGTTCAGCTTTCAAACACTCTTTTTGTAGAATCTGCAAGTGGATATTTGGACCACTTTGTGGCCTTCCTTTGAAAAGGGTATATCTTCACATCAAACCTAGACAGAAGCATTCTCAGAATGTTTCCTGTGATGACTGCATTCAACTCACAGAGGTGAACAATCCTGCTGATGGAGCAGTTTTGAAACTCTCTTTCTTTGGATTCTGCAAGTGGATATGTGGACCTCTGTGAAGATTTCGTTGGAAACGGGTTCATCTTCACAGAAAAACTAAACAGAAACATTCTCAGAAACTGCTTTGTGATGTTTGTGTTCCACTTCAAGAATTGAACTTTCCTCTTGACAGAGCAGCTCTGAAACCCTCTTTTTCTAGAATCTGCAAGTGGACATTTGGAGGGCTTTGAGGCCTGTGGTGGAAAAGGAAAATCTTCACATAAAAACTAGATGGAAGCATTCTCAGAAACTACTTTGTGATGATTGCATTCGACTCACAGAGTTGAACATTCCTATAGATAGAGCAGGTTGTAAACAATCTTTTTGTAGAATCTGCGATTGGAGATTTGGACTGCTTTGAGGCCTACTGTAGTAAAGGAAATAACTTCATCTAAAAACCAAACGGAAGCATTCACAGACAATTCTTAGTGATCATTGCATTGAACTAACAGAGCTGAACATTCCTTTAGATGGCGCAGTTTCCAAACACACTTTCTGTAGAATCTGCAAGTGGATATTTGGACTTCTCTGAGGATTTCGTTGGAAACGGGATAAACTTCCCAGAACTACACGGAAGCATTGTGAGAAACTTCTTTGTGATGTTTGCATTCAACTCACAGAGTTGAACCTTGCTTTCATAGTTCAGCTTTCAAACACTCCTTTTGTAGAATCTGCAAGTGGATATTTGGACCACTTTGTGGCCTTCCTTGGAAACGGGTATATCTTCACATCAAACCTAGACAGAAGCATTCTCAGAATGTTTCCTGTGATGACTGCATTCAACTCACAGAGGTGAACAATCCTGCTGATGGAGCAGTTTTGAAACTCTCTTTCTTTGGATTCTGCAAGTGGATATGTGGACCTCTGTGAAGATTTCGTTGGAAACGGGTTCATCTTCACAGAAAAACTAAACAGAAGCATTCTCAGAAACTGCTTTGTGATGTTTGTGTTCCACTTCAGGAATTGAACTTTCCTCTTGACAGAGCAGCTCTGAAACCCTCTTATTCTAGAATCTGCAAGTGGACATTTGGAGAGCTTTGAGGCCTGTGGTGGAAAAGGAAAATCTTCACATAAAAACTAGATGGAAGCATTCTCAGAAACTACTTTGTGATGATTGCATTCGACTCACAGAGTTGAACATTCCTATAGATAGAGCAGGTTGTAAACAATCTTTTTGTAGAATCTGCGATTGGAGATTTGGACTGCTTTGAGGCCTACTGTAGTAAAGGAAATAACTTAATCTAAAAACCAAACGGAAGCATTCACAGACAATTCTTAGTGATCATTGCATTGAACTAACAGAGCTGAACATTCCTTTAGATGGAGCAGTTTCCAAACACACTTTCTGTAGAATCTGCAAGTGGATATTTGGACTTTTCTGAGGATATCGTTGGAAAAGGGATAAACTTCCCAGAACTACAGGGAAGCATTGTGAGAAACTTCTTTGTGATGTTTGCATTCAACTCACAGAGTTGAACCTTGCTTTCATAGTTCAGCTTTCAAACACTCTTTTTGTAGAATCTGCAAGTGGATATTTGGACCACTTTGTGGCCTTCCTTCGAAACGGGTATATCTTCACATCAAACCTAGACAGAAGCATTCTCAGAATGTTTCCTGTGATGACTGCATTCAACTCACAGAGGTGAACAATCCTGCTGATGGAGCAGTTTTGAAACTCTCTTTCTTTGGATTCTGCAAGTGGATATGTGGACCTCTGTGAAGATTTCGTTGGAAACGGGTTCATCTTCACAGAAAAACTAAACAGAAGCATTCTCAGAAACTGCTTTGTGATGTTTGTGTTCCACTTCAGGAATTGAACTTTCCTCTTGACAGAGCAGCTCTGAAACCCTCTTATTCTAGAATCTGCAAGTGGACATTTGGAGGGCTTTGAGGCCTGTGGTGGAAAAGGAAAATCTTCACATAAAAACTAGATGGAAGCATTCTCAGAAACTACTTTGTGATGATTGCATTCGACTCACAGAGTTCAACATTCCTATAGATAGAGCAGGTTGTAAACAATCTTTTTGTAGAATCTGCGATTGGAGATTTGGACTGCTTTGAAGCCTACTGTAGTAAAGGAAATTACTTCATCTAAAAACCAAACGGAAGCATTCACAGACAATTCTTAGTGATCATTGGATTGAACTAACAGAGCTGAACATTCCTTTAGATGGAGCAGTTTCCAAACCCACTTTCTGTAGAATCTGCAAGTGGATATTTGGACTTCTCTGAGGATTTCGTTGGAAACGGGATAAACTTCCCAGAACTACACGGAAGCATTGTGAGAAACTTCTTTGTGATGTTTGCATTCAACTCACAGAGTTGAACCTTGTTTTCATAGTTCAGCTTTCAAGCACTCTTTTTGTAGAATCTGCAAGTGGATATTTGGACCACTTTGTGGCCTTCCTTCGAAACGGGTATATCTTCACATCAAACCTAGACAGAAGCATTCTCAGAATGTTTCCTGTGATGACTGCATTCAACTCACAGAGGTGAACAATCCTGTTCATGGAGCACTTTTGAAACTCTCTTTCTTTGGATTCTGCAAGTGGATATGTGGACCTCTGTGAAGATTTCGTTGGAAACGGGTTCATCTTCACAGAAAAACTAAACAGAAGCATTCTCAGAAACTGCTTTGTGATGTTTGTGTTCCACTTCAGGAACTGAACTTTCCTCTTGACAGAGCAGCTCTGAAACCCTCTTTTTCTAGAATCTGCAAGTGGACATTTGGAGGGCTTTGAGGCCTGTGGTGGAAAAGGAAAATCTTCACATAAAAACTAGATGGAAGCATTCTCAGAAACTACTTTGTGATGATTGCATTCGACTCACAGAGTTGAATATTCCTATGGATACATCAGGTTGTAAACAATCTTTTTGTAGAATCTGCGATTGGAGATTTGGACTGCTTTGAGGCCTACTGTAGTAAAGGAAATAACTTCATCTAAAAACCAAACGGAAGCATTCACAGACAATTCTTAGTGATCATTGGATTGAACTAACAGAGCTGAACATTCCTTTAGATGGAGCAGTTTCCAAACCCACTTTCTGTAGAATCTGCAAGTGGATATTTGGACTTCTCTGAGGATTTCGTTGGAAACGGGATAAACTTCCCAGAACTACACGGAAGCATTGTGAGAAACTTCTTTGTGATGTTTGCATTCAACTCACAGAGTTGAACCTTGCTTTCATAGTTCAGCTTTCAAACACTCTTTTTGTGGAATCTGCAAGTGGATATTTGGACCACTTTGTGGCCTTCCTTCGAAACGGGTATATCTTCACATCAAACCTAGACAGAAGCATTCTCAGAATGTTTCCTGTGATGACTGCATTCAACTCACAGAGGTGAACAATCCTGCTGATGGAGCAGTTTTGAAACTCTCTTTCTTTGGATTCTGCAAGTGGATATGTGGACCTCTGTGAAGATTTCGTTGGAAACGGGTTCATCTTCACAGAAAAACTAAACAGAAGCATTCTCAGAAACTGCTTTGTGATGTTTGTGTTCCACTTCAAGAATTGAACTTTCCTCTTGACAGAGCAGCTCTGAAACCCTCTTTTTCTAGAATCTGCAAGTGGACATTTGGAGGGCTTTGAGGCCTGTGGTGGAAAAGGAAAATCTTCACATAAAACTAGATGGAAGCATTCTCAGAAACTACTTTGTGATGATTGCATTCGACTCACAGAGTTGAACATTCCTATAGATAGAGCAGGATGTAAACAAACTTTTTGTAGAATCTGCGATTGGAGATTTGGACTGCTTTGAGGCCTACTGTAGTAAAGGAAATAACTTCATCTAAAAACCAAACGGAAGCATTCACAGACAATTCTTAGTGATCATTGGATTGAACTAACAGAGCTGAACATTCCTTTAGATGGAGCAGTTTCCAAACACACTTTATGTAGAATCTGCAAGTGGATATTTGGACCTCTCTGAGGATTTCGTTGGAAACGGGATAAACTTCCCAGAACTACACGGAAGCATGCTGAGAAACTTCTTTGTGATGTTTGCATTCAACTCACAGAGTTGAAACTTGCTTTCATAGTTCAGCTTTCAAACACTCTTTTTGTAGAATCTGCAAGTGGATATTTGGACCACTTTGTGGCCTTCCTTCGAAACGGGTATATCTTCACATCAAACCTAGACAGAAGCATTCTCAGAATGTTTCCTGTGATGACTGCATTCAACTCACAGAGGTGAACAATCCTGTTGATGGAGCACTTTTGAAACTCTCTTTCTTTGGATTCTGCAAGTTGATATGTGGACCTCTGTGAAGATTTCGTTGGAAACGGGTTCATCTTCACAGAAAAACTAAACAGAAGCATTCTCAGAAACTGCTTTGTGATGTTTGTGTTCCACTTCAGGAATTGAACTTTCCTCTTGACAGAGCAGCTCTAAAACCCTCTTATTCTAGAATCTGCAAGTGGACATTTGGAGGGCTTTGAGGCCTGTGGTGGAAAAGGAAAATCTTCACATAAAAACTAGATGGAAGCATTCTCAGAAACTACTTTGTGATGATTGCATTCGACTCACAGAGTTGAACATTCCTATACATAGAGCAGGTTGTAAACAATCTTTTTGTAGAATCTGCGATTGGAGATTTGGACTGCTTTGAGGCCTACTGTAGTAAAGGAAATAACTTCATCTAAAAACCAAACGGAAGCATTCACAGACAATTCTTAGTGATCATTGCATTGAACTAACAGAGCTGAACATTCCTTTAGATGGAGCAGTTTCCAAACACACTTTCTGTAGAATCTGCAAGTGGATATTTGGACTTCTCTGAGGATTTCGTTGGAAACGGGATAAACTTCCCAGAACTACACGGAAGCATGCTGAGAAACTTCTTTGTGATGTTTGCATTCAACTCACAGAGTTGAACCTTGCTTTCATAGTTCAGCTTTCAAACACTCTTTTTGTAGAATCTGCAAGTGGATATTTGGACCACTTTGTGGCCTTCCTTCGAAACGGGTATATCTTCACATCAAACCTAGACAGAAGCATTCTCAGAATGTTTCCTGTGATGACTGCATTCAACTCACAGAGGTGAACAATCCTGTTGATGGAGCACTTTTGAAACTCTCTTTCTTTGGATTCTGCAAGTTGATATGTGGACCTCTGTGAAGATTTCGTTGGAAACGGGTTCATCTTCACAGAAAAACTAAACAGAAGCATTCTCAGAAACTGCTTTGTGATGTTTGTGTTCGACTTCAGGAATTGAACTTTCCTCTTGACAGAGCAGCTCTGAAACCCTCTTATTCTAGAATCTGCAAGTGGACATTTGGAGGGCTTTGAGGCCTGTGGTGGAAAAGGAAAATCTTCACATAAAAACTAGATGGAAGCATTCTCAGAAACTACTTTGTGATGATTGCATTCGACTCACAGAGTTGAACATTCCTATAGATAGAGCAGGTTGTAAACAATCTTTTTGTAGAATCTGCGATTGGAGATTTGGACTGCTTTGAGGCCTACTGTAGTAAAGGAAATAACTTCATCTAAAAACCAAACGGAAGCATTCACAGACAATTCTTAGTGATCATTGGATTGAACTAACAGAGCTGAACATTCCTTTAGATGGAGCAGTTTCCAAACACACTTTCTGTAGAATCTGAAAGTGGATATTTGGACTTCTCTGAGGATTTCGTTGGAAACGGGATAAACTTCCCAGAACTACACGGAAGCATTCTGAGAAACTTCTTTGTGATGTTTGCATTCAACTCACAGAGTTGAACCTTGCTTTCATAGTTCAGCTTTCAAACACTCTTTTTGTAGAATCTGCAAGTGGATATTTGGACCACTTTGTGGCCTTCCTTCGAAACGGGTATATCTTCACATCAAACCTAGACAGAAGCATTCTCAGAATGTTTCCTGTGATGACTGCATTCAACTCACAGAGGTGAACAATCCTGCTGATGGAGTAGTTTTGAAACTCTCTTTCTTTGGATTCTGCAAGTGGATATCTGGACCTCTGTGAAGATTTCGTTGGAAACGGGTTCATCTTCACAGAAAAACTAAACAGAAGCATTCTCAGAAACTGCTTTGTGATGTTTGTGTTCCACTTCAGGAATTGAACTTTCCTCTTGACAGAGCAGCTCTGAAACCCTCTTATTCTAGAATCTGCAAGTGGACATTTGGAGGGCTTTGAGGCCTGTGGTGGAAAAGGAAAATCTTCACATACAAACTAGATGGAAGCATTCTCAGAAACTACTTTGTGATGATTGCATTCGACTCACAGAGTTGAACATTCCTATAGATAGAGCAGGTTGTAAACAATCTTTTTGTAGAATCTGCGATTGGAGATTTGGACTGCTTTGAGGCCTACTGTAGTAAAGGAAATAACTTCATCTAAAAACCAAACGGAAGCATTCACAGACAATTCTTAGTGATCATTGCGTTGA
Source organism: Homo sapiens (assembly GCF_000001405.40). Taxonomy (NCBI): domain Eukaryota; kingdom Metazoa; phylum Chordata; class Mammalia; order Primates; family Hominidae; genus Homo; species Homo sapiens. The sequence continues at coordinate 51,397,901 of NC_000011.10, forward strand.
ACTAACAGAGCTGAACATTCCTTTAGATGGCGCAGTTTCCAAACACACTTTCTGTAGAATCTGCAAGTGGATATTTGGACTTCTCTGAGGATTTCGTTGGAAACGGGATAAACTTCCCAGAACTACACGGAAGCATTCTGAGAAACTTCTTTGTGATGTTTGCATTCAACTCACAGAGTTGAACCTTGCTTTCATAGTTCAGCTTTCAAACACTCTTTTTGTAGAATCTGCAAGTGGATATTTGGACCACTTTGTGGCCTTCCTTCGAAACGGGTATATCTTCACATCAAACCTAGACAGAAGCATTCTCAGAATGTTTCCTGTGATGACTGCATTCAACTCACAGAGGTGAACAATCCTGCTGATGGAGCAGTTTTGAAACTCTCTTTCTTTGGATTCTGCAAGTGGATATGTGGACCTCTGTGAAGATTTCGTTGGAAACGGGTTCATCTTCACAGAAAAACTAAACAGAAGCATTCTCAGAAACTGCTTTGTGATGTTTGTGTTCCACTTCAGGAATTGAACTTTCCTCTTGACAGAGCAGCTCTGAAACCCTCTTTTTCTAGAATCTGCAAGTGGACATTTGGAGGGCTTTGAGGCCTGTGTTGGAAAAGGAAAATCTTCACATAAAAACCAGATGGAAGCATTCTCAGAAACTACTTTGTGATGATTGCATTCGACTCACAGAGTTGAACATTCCTATAGATAGAGCAGGTTGTAAACAATCTTTTTGTAGAATCTGCGATTGGAGATTTGGACTGCTTTGAGGCCTACTGTAGTAAAGGAAATAACTTCATCTAAAAACCAAACGGAAGCATTCACAGACAATTCTTAGTGATCATTGCATTGAACTAACAGAGCTGAACATTCCTTTAGATGGCGCAGTTTCCAAACACACTTTCTGTAGAATCTGCAAGTGGATATTTGGACCTCTCTGAGGATTTCGTTGGAAACGGGATAAACTTCCCAGAACTACACGGAAGCATTGTGAGAAACTTCTTTGTGATGTTTGCATTCAACTCACAGAGTTGAACCTTGCTTTCATAGTTCAGCTTTCAAACACTCTTTTTGTAGAATCTGCAAGTGGATATTTGGACCACTTTGTGGCCTTCCTTCGAAACGGGTATATCTTCACATCAAACCTAGACAGAAGCATTCTCAGAATGTTTCCTGTGATGACTGCATTCAACTCACAGAGGTGAACAATCCTGTTGATGGAGCAGTTTTGAAACTCTCTTTCTTTGGATTCTGCAAGTTGATATGTGGACCTCTGTGAAGATTTCGTTGGAAAAGGGTTCATCTTCACAGAAAAACTAAACAGAAGCATTCTCAGAAACTGCTTTGTGATGTTTGTGTTCCACTTCAAGAATTGAACTTTCCTCTTGACAGAGCAGCTCTGAAACCCTCTTTTTCTAGAATCTGCAAGTGGACATTTGGAGGGCTTTGAGGCCTGTGGTGCAAAAGGAAAATCTTCACATAAAAACTAGATGGAAGCATTCTCAGAAACTACTTTGTGATGATTGCATTCGACTCACAGAGTTGAACATTCCTATAGATAGAGCAGGTTGTAAACAATCTTTTTGTAGAATCTGCGATTGGAGATTTGGACTGCTTTGAGGCCTACTGTAGTAAAGGAAATAACTTCATCTAAAAACCAAACGGAAGCATTCACAGACAATTCCTAGTGATCATTGCATTGAACTAACAGAGCTGAACATTCCTTTAGATGGCGCAGTTTCCAAACACACTTTCTGTAGAATCTGCAAGTGGATATTTGGACCTCTCTGAGGATTTCGTTGGAAACGGGATAAACTTCCCAGAAATACACGGAAGCATTCTGAGAAACTTCTTTGTGATGTTTGCATTCAACTCACAGAGTTGAACCTTGCTTTCATAGTTCAGCTTTCAAACACTCTTTTTGTAGAATCTGCAAGTGGATATTTGGACCACTTTGTGGCCTTCCTTCGAAACGGGTATATCTTCACATCAAACCTAGACAGAAGCATTCTCAGAATGTTTCCTGTGATGACTGCATTCAACTCACAGAGGTGAACAATCCTGCTGATGGTGCAGTTTTGAAACTCTCTTTCTTTGGATTCTGCAAGTGGATATGTGGACCTCTGTGAAGATTTCGTTGGAAACGGGTTCATCTTCACAGAAAAACTAAACAGGAGCATTCTCAGAAACTGCTATGTGATGTTTGTGTTCCACTTCAAGAATTGAACTTTCCTCTTGACAGAGCAGCTCTGAAACCCTCTTTTTCTAGAATCTGCAAGTGGACATTTGGAGGGCTTTGAGGCCTGTGGTGGAAAAGGAAAATCTTCACATAAAAACTAGATGGAAGCATTCTCAGAAACTACTTTGTGATGATTGCATTCGACTCACAGAGTTGAACATTCCTATAGATAGAGCAGGTTGTAAACAATCTTTTTGTAGAATCTGCGATTGGAGATTTGGACTGCTTTGAGGCCTACTGTAGTAAAGGAAATAACTTCATCTAAAAACCAAACGGAAGCATTCACAGACAATTCTTAGTGATCATTGCATTGAACTAACAGAGCTGAACATTCCTTTAGATGGCGCAGTTTCCAAACACACTTTCTGTAGAATCTGCAAGTGGATATTTGGACTTCTCTGAGGATTTCGTTGGAAACGGGATAAACTTCCCAGAACTACACGGAAGCATTCTGAGAAACTTCTTTGGATGTTTGCATTCAACTCACAGAGTTGAACCTTGCTTTCATAGTTCAGCTTTCAAACACTCTTTTTGTAGAATCTGCAAGTGGATATTTGGACCACTTTGTGGCCTTCCTTGGAAACGGGTATATCCTCACATCAAACCTAGACAGAAGCATTCTCAGAATGTTTCCTGTGATGACTGCATTCAACTCACAGAGGTGAACAATCCTGCTGATGGAGCAGTTTTGAAACTCTCTTTCTTTGGATTCTGCAAGTGGATATGTGGACCTCTGTGAAGATTTCGTTGGAAACGGGTTCATCTTCACAGAAAAACTAAACAGGAACATTCTCAGAAACTGCTTTGTGATGTTTGTGTTCCACTTCAAGAATTGAACTTTCCTCTTGACAGAGCAGCTCTGAAACCCTCTTTTTCTAGAATCTGCAAGTGGACATTTGGAGGGCTTTGAGGCCTGTGGTGGAAAAGGAAAATCTTCACATAAAAACTAGATGGAAGCATTCTCAGAAACTACTTTGTGATGATTGCATTCGACTCACAGAGTTGAACATTCCTATAGATAGAGCAGGTTGTAAACAATCTTTTTGTAGAATCTGCGATTGGAGATTTGGACTGCTTTGAGGCCTACTGTAGTAAAGGAAATAACTTCATCTAAAAACCAAACGGAAGCATTCACAGACAATTCTTAGTGATCATTGGATTGAACTAACAGAGCTGAACATTCCTTTAGATGGAGCAGTTTCCAAACACACTTTCTGTAGAATCTGCAAGTGGATATTTGGACTTCTCTGAGGATTTCGTTGGAAACGGGATAAACTTCCCAGAACTACACGGAAGCATTCTGAGAAACTTCTTTGTGATGTTTGCATTCAACTCACAGAGTTGAACCTTGCTTTCATAGTTCAGCTTTCAAACACTCTTTTTGTAGAATCTGCAAGTGGATATTTGGACCACTTTGTGGCCTTCCTTCGAAACGGGTATATCTTCACATCAAACCTAGACAGAAGCATTCTCAGAATGTTTCCTGTGATGACTGCATTCAACTCACAGAGGTGAACAATCCTGCTGATGGAGCAGTTTTGAAACTCTCTTTCTTTGGATTCTGCAAGTGGATATGTGGACCTCTGTGAAGATTTCGTTGGAAACGGGTTCATCTTCACAGAAAAACTAAACAGGAGCATTCTCAGAAACTGCTTTGTGATGTTTGTGTTCCACTTCAGGAATTGAACTTTCCTCTTGACAGAGCAGCTCTGAAACCCTCTTTTTCTAGAATCTGCAAGTGGACATTTGGAGGGCTTTGAGGCCTGTGGTGGAAAAGGAAAATCTTCACATAAAAACTAGATGGAAGCATTCTCAGAAACTACTTTGTGATGATTGCATTCGACTCACAGAGTTGAACATTCCTATAGATAGAGCAGGTTGTAAACAATCTTTTTGTAGAATCTGCGATTGGAGATTTGGACTGCTTTGAGGCCTACTGTAGTAAAGGAAATAACTTCATCTAAAAACCAAACGGAAGCATTCACAGACAATTCTTAGTGATCATTGGATTGAACTAACAGAGCTGAACATTCCTTTAGATGGAGCAGTTTCCAAACACACTTTCTGTAGAATCTGCAAGTGGATATTTGGACCTCTCTGAGGATTTCGTTGGAAACGGGATAAACTTCCCAGAACTACACGGAAGCATTCTGAGAAACTTCTTTGTGATGTTTGCATTCAACTCACAGAGTTGAACCTTGCTTTCATAGTTCAGCTTTCAAACACTCTTTTTGTAGAATCTGCAAGTGGATATTTGGACCACTTTGTGGCCTTCCTTCGAAACGGGTATATCTTCACATCAAACCTAGACAGAAGCATTCTCAGAATGTTTCCTGTGATGACTGCATTCAACTCACCGAGGTGAACAATCCTGCTGATGGAGCAGTTTTGAAACTCTCTTTCTTTGGATTCTGCAAGTGGATATGTGGACCTCTGTGAAGATTTCGTTGGAAACGGGTTCATCTTCACAGAAAAACTAAACAGAAGCATTCTCAGAAACTGCTTTGTGATGTTTGTGTTCCACTTCAGGAATTGAACTTTCCTCTTGACAGAGCAGCTCTGAAACCCTCTTATTCTAGAATCTGCAAGTGGACATTTGGAGGGCTTTGAGGCCTGTGGTGGAAAAGGAAAATCTTCACATAAAAACTAGATGGAAGCATTCTCAGAAACTACTTTGTGATGATTGCATTCGACTCACAGAGTTGAACATTCCTATAGATAGAGCAGGTTGTAAACAATCTTTTTGTAGAATCTGCGATTGGAGATTTGGACTGCTTTGAGGCCTACTGTAGTAAAGGAAATAACTTCATCTAAAAACCAAACGGAAGCATTCACAGACAATTCTTAGTGATCATTGCATTGAACTAACAGAGCTGAACATTCCTTTAGATGGAGCAGTTTCCAAACACACTTTCTGTAGAATCTGCAAGTGGATATTTGGACTTCTCTGAGGATTTCGTTGGAAACGGGATAAACTTCCCAGAACTACACGGAAGCATTCTGAGAAACTTCTTTGTGATGTTTGCATTCAACTCACAGAGTTGAACCTTGCTTTCATAGTTCAGCTTTCAAACACTCTTTTTGTAGAATCTGCAAGTGGATATTTGGACCACTTTGTGGCCTTCCTTCGAAACGGGTATATCTTCACATCAAACCTAGACAGAAGCATTCTCAGAATGTTTCCTGTGATGACTGCATTCAACTCACAGAGGTGAACCATCCTGTTGATGGAGCAGTTTTGAAACTCTCTTTCTTTGGATTCTGCAAGTGGATATGTGGACCTCTGTGAAGATTTCGTTGGAAACGGGTACATCTTCACAGAAAAACTAAACAGGAGCATTCTCAGAAACTGCTTTGTGATGTTTGTGTTCCACTTCAGGAATTGAACTTTCCTCTTGACAGAGCAGCTCTGAAACCCTCTTATTCTAGAATCTGCAAGTGGACATTTGGAGGGCTTTGAGGCCTGTGGTGGAAAAGGAAAATCTTCACATAAAAACTAGATGGAAGCATTCTCAGAAACTACTTTGTGATGATTGCATTCGACTCACAGAGTTGAACATTCCTATAGATAGAGCAGGTTGTAAACAATCTTTTTGTAGAATCTGCGATTGGAAATTTGGACTGCTTTGAGGCCTACTGTAGTAAAGGAAATAACTTCATCTAAAAACCAAACGGAAGCATTCACAGACAATTCTTAGTGATCATTGCATTGAACTAACAGAGCTGAACATTCCTTTAGATGGCGCAGTTTCCAAACACACTTTCTGTAGAATCTGCAAGTGGATATTTGGACTTCTCTGAGGATTTCGTTGGAAACGGGATAAACTTCCCAGAACTACACGGAAGCATTCTGAGAAACTTCTTTGTGATGTTTGCATTCAACTCACAGAGTTGAACCTTGCTTTCATAGTTCAGCTTTCAAACACTCTTTTTGTAGAATCTGCAAGTGGATATTTGGACCACTTTGTGGCCTTCCTTCGAAACGGGTATATCTTCACATCAAACCTAGACAGAAGCATTCTCAGAATGTTTCCTGTGATGACTGCATTCAACTCACAGAGGTGAACAATCCTGTTGATGGAGCACTTTTGAATCTCTCTTTCTTTGGATTCTGCAAGTGGATATATGGACCTCTGGGAAGATTTCGTTGGAAACGGGTTCATCTTCACAGAAAAACTAAACAGGAGCATTCTCAGAAACTGCTTTGTGATGTTTGTGTTCCACTTCAGGAATTGAACTTTCCTCTTGACAGAGCAGCTCTGAAACCCTCTTTTTCTAGAATCTGCAAGTGGACATTTGGAGGGCTTTGAGGCCTGTGGTGGAAAAGGAAAATCTTCACATAAAAACTAGATGGAAGCATTCTCAGAAACTACTTTGTGATGATTGCATTCGACTCACAGAGTTGAACATTCCTATAGATAGAGCAGGTTGTAAACAATCTTTTTGTAGAATCTGCGATTGGAGATTTGGACTGCTTTGAGGCCTACTGTAGTAAAGGAAATAACTTCATCTAAAAACCAAACGGAAGCATTCACAGACAATTCTTAGTGATCATTGGATTGAACTAACAGAGCTGAACATTCCTTTAGATGGAGCAGTTTCCAAACACACTTTCTGTAGAATCTGCAAGTGGATATTTGGACCTCTCTGAGGATTTCGTTGGAAACGGGATAAACTTCCCAGAACTACACGGAAGCATTCTGAGAAACTTCTTTGTGATGTTTGCATTCAACTCACAGAGTTGAACCTTGCTTTCATAGTTCAGCTTTCAAACACTCTTTTTGTAGAATCTGCAAGTGGATATTTGGACCACTTTGTGGCCTTCCTTCGAAACGGGTATATCTTCACATCAAACCTAGACAGAAGCATTCTCAGAATGTTTCCTGTGATGACTGCATTCAACTCACAGAGGTGAACAATCCTGCTGATGGAGCAGTTTTGAAACTCTCTTTCTTTGGATTCTGCAAGTGGATATGTGGACCTCTGTGAAGATTTCGTTGGAAACGGGTTCATCTTCACAGAAAAACTAAACAGGAGCATTCTCAGAAACTGCTTTGTGATGTTTGTGTTCCACTTCAAGAATTGAACTTTCCTCTTGACAGAGCAGCTCTGAAACCCTCTTTTTCTAGAATCTGCAAGTGGACATTTGGAGGGCTTTGAGGCCTGTGGTGGAAAAGGAAAATCTTCACATGAAAACTAGATGGAAGCATTCTCAGAAACTACTTTGTGATGATTGCATTCGACTCACAGAGTTGAACATTCCTATAGGTAGAGCAGGTTGTAAACAATCTTTTTGTAGAATCTGCGATTGGAGATTTGGACTGCTTTGAGGCCTACTGTAGTAAAGGAAATAACTTCATCTAAAAACCAAACGGAAGCATTCACAGACAAATCTTAGTGATCATTGGATTGAACTAACAGAGCTGAACATTCCTTTAGATGGAGCAGTTTCCAAACACACTTTCTGTAGAATCTGCAAGTGGATATTTGGACTTCTCTGAGGATTTCGTTGGAAACGGCATAAACTTCCCAGAACTACAGGGAAGCATTCTGAGAAACTTCTTTGTGATGTTTGCATTCAACTCACAGAGTTGAACCTTGCTTTCATAGTTCAGCTTTCAAACACTCTTTTTGTAGAATCTGCAATTGGATATTGGGACCACTTTGTGGCCTTCCTTCGAAACGGGTATATCTTCACATCAAACCTAGACAGAAGCATTCTCAGAATGTTTCCTGTGATGACTGCATTCAACTCACAGAGGTGAACAATCCTGCTGATGGAGCAGTTTTGAAACTCTCTTTCTTTGGATTCTGCAAGTGGATATGTGGACCTCTGTGAAGATTTCGTTGGAAACGGGTTCATCTTCACAGAAAAACTAAACAGAAGCATTCTCAGAAACTGCTTTGTGATGTTTGTGTTCCACTTCAAGAATTGAACTTTCCTCTTGACAGAGCAGCTCTGAAACCCTCTTTTTCTAGAATCTGCAAGTGGACATTTGGAGGGCTTTGAGGCCTGTGGTGGAAAAGGAAAATCTTCCCATAAAAACTAGATGGAAGCATTCTCAGAAACTACTTTGTGATGATTGCATTCGACTCACAGAGTTGAACATTACTATAGATAGAGCAGGTTGTAAACAATGTTTTTGTAGAATCTGCGATTGGAGATTTGGACTGCTTTGAGGCCTACTGTAGTAAAGGAAATAACTTTCATCTAAAAACCAAACGGAAGCATTCACAGACAATTCTTAGTGATCATTGGATTGAACTAACAGAGCTGAACATTCCTTTAGATGGAGCAGTTTCCAAACACACTTTCTGTAGAATCTGCAAGTGGATATTTGGACTTCTCTGAGGATTTCGTTGGAAACGGGATAAACTTCCCAGAACTACACGGAAGCATTGTGAGAAACTTCTTTGTGATGTTTGCATTCAACTCACAGAGTTGAACCTTGCTTTCATAGTTCAGCTTTCAAACACTCTTTTTGTAGAATCTGCAAGTGGATATTTGGACCACTTTGTGGCCTTCCTTCGAAACGGGTATATCTTCACATCAAACCTAGACAGAAGCATTCTCAGAATGTTTCCTGTGATGACTGCATTCAACTCACAGAGGTGAACAATCCTGCTGATGGAGCAGTTTTGAAACTCTCTTTCTTTGGATTCTGCAAGTGGATATGTGGACCTCTGTGAAGATTTCGTTGGAAACGTGTTCATCTTCACAGAAAAACTAAACAGGAGCATTCTCAGAAACTGCTTTGTGATGTTTGTGTTCCACTTCAAGAATTGAACTTTCCTCTTGACAGAGCAGCTCTGAAACCCTCTTTTTCTAGAATCTGCAAGTGGACATTTGGAGGGCTTTGAGGCCTGTGGTGGAAAAGGAAAATCTTCCCATAAAAACTAGATGGAAGCATTCTCAGAAACTACTTTGTGATGATTGCATTCGACTCACAGAGTTGAACATTCCTATAGATAGAGCAGGTTGTAAACAATGTTTTTGTAGAATCTGCGATTGGAGATTTGGACTGCTTTGAGGCCTACTGTAGTAAAGGAAATAACTTCATCTAAAAACCAAACGGAAGCATTCACAGACAATTCTTAGTGATCATTGCATTGAACTAACAGAGCTGAACATTCCTTTAGATGGCGCAGTTTCCAAACACACTTTCTGTAGAATCTGCAAGTGGATATTTGGACCTCTCTGAGGATTTCGTTGGAAACGGGATAAACTTCCCAGAACTGCAAGGAAGCATTGTGAGAAACTTCTTTGTGATGTTTGCATTCAACTCACAGAGTTGAACCTTGCTTTCATAGTTCAGCTTTCAAACACTCTTTTTGTAGAATCTGGAAGTGGATATTTGGACCACTTTGTGGCCTTCCTTCGAAACGGGTATATCTTCACATCAAACCTAGACAGAAGCATTCTCAGAATGTTTCCTGTGATGACTGCATTCAACTCACAGAGGTGAACAATCCTGCTGATGGAGCAGTTTTGAAACTCTCTTTCTTTGGATTCTGCAAGTGGATATGTGGACCTCTGTGAAGATTTCGTTGGAAACGGGTTCATCTTCACAGAAAAACTAAACAGAAGCATTCTCAGAAACTGCTTTGTGATGTTTGTGTTCCACTTCAGGAATTGAACTTTCCTCTTGACAGAGCAGCTCTGAAACCCTCTTATTCTAGAATCTGCAAGTGGACATTTGGAGGGCTTTGAGGCCTGTGGTGGAAAAGGAAAATCTTCACATAAAAACTAGATGGAAGCATTCTCAGAAACTACTTTGTGATGATTGCATTCGACTCACAGAGTTGAACATTCCTATACATAGAGCAGGTTGTAAACAATCTTTTTGTAGAATCTGCGATTGGAGATTTGGACTGCTTTGAGGCCTACTGTAGTAAAGGAAATAACTTCATCTAAAAACCAAACGGAAGCATTCACAGACAATTCTTAGTGATCATTGGATTGAACTAACAGAGCTGAACATTCCTTTAGATGGAGCAGTTTTCAAACACCACTTTCTGTAGAATCTGCAAGTGGATATTTGGACTTCTCTGAGGATTTCGTTGGAAACGGGATAAACTTCCCAGAACTACACGGAAGCATGCTGAGAAACTTCTTTGTGATGTTTGCATTCAACTCACAGAGTTGAACCTTGCTTTCATAGTTCAGCTTTCAAACACTCTTTTTGTAGAATCTGCAAGTGGATATTTGGACCACTTTGTGGCCTTCCTTCGAAAACGGGTATATCTTCACATCAAACCTAGACAGAAGCATTCTCAGAATGTTTCCTGTGATGACTGCATTCAACTCACAGAGGCGAACAATCCTGTTGATGGAGCAGTTTTGAAACTCTCTTTCTTTGGATTCTGCAAGTGGATATGTGGACCTCTGTGAAGATTTCGTTGGAAACGGGTTCATCTTCACAGAAAAACTAAACAGAAGCATTCTCAGAAACTGCATTGTGATGTTTGTGTTCCACTTCAAGAATTGAACTTTCCTCTTGACAGAGCAGCTCTGAAACCCTCTTTTTCTAGAATCTGCAAGTGGACATTTGGAGGGCTTTGAGGCCTGTGGTGGAAAAGGAAAATCTTCACATAAAAACTAGATGCAAGCATTCTCAGAAACTACTTTGTGATGATTGCATTCGACTCACAGAGTTGAACATTCCTATAGATAGAGCAGGTTGTAAACAATCTTTTTGTAGAATCTGCGATTGGAGATTTGGACTGCTTTGAGGCCTACTGTAGTAAAGGAAATAACTTCATCTAAAAACCAAACGGAAGCATTCACAGACAATTCTTAGTGATCATTGCATTGAACTAACAGAGCTGAACATTCCTTTAGATGGCGCAGTTTCCAAACACACTTTCTGTAGAATCTGCAAGTGGATATTTGGACCTCTCTGAGGATTTCGTTGGAAACGGGATAAACTTCCCAGAACTACACGGAAGCATTCTGAGAAACTTCTTTGTGATGTTTGCATTCAACTCACAGAGTTGAACCTTGCTTTCATAGTTCAGCTTTCAAACACTCTTTTTGTAGAATCTGCAAGTGGATATTTGGACCACTTTGTGGCCTTCCTTCGAAACGGGTATATCTTCACATCAAACCTAGACAGAAGCATTCTCAGAATGTTTCCTGTGATGACTGCATTCAACTCACAGAGGTGAACAATCCTGCTGATGGAGCAGTTTTGAAACTCCCTTTCTTTGGATTCTGCAAGTGGATATGTGGACCTCTGTGAAGATTTCGTTGGAAACGGGTTCATCTTCACAGAAAAACTAAACAGGAGCATTCTCAGAAACTGCTTTGTGATGTTTGTGTTCCACTTCAAGAATTGAACTTTCCTCTTGACAGAGCAGCTCTGAAACCCTCTTTTTCTAGAGTCTGCAAGTGGACATTTGGAGGGCTTTGAGGCCTGTGGTGGAAAAGGAAAATCTTCACATAAAAACTAGATGGAAGCATTCTCAGAAACTACTTTGTGATGATTGCATTCGACTCACAGAGTTGAACATTCCTATAGATAGAGCAGGTTGTAAACAATCTTTTTGTAGAATCTGCGATTGGAGATTTGGACTGCTTTGAGGCCTACTGTAGTAAAGGAAATAACTTCATCTAAAAACCAAACGGAAGCATTCACAGACAATTCTTAGTGATCATTGGATTGAACTAACAGAGCTGAACATTCCTTTAGATGGCGCAGTTTCCAAACACACTTTCTGTAGAATCTGCAAGTGGATATTTGGACTTCTCTGAGGATTTCGTTGGAAACGGGATAAACTTCCCAGAACTACACGGAAGCATTGTGAGAAACTTCTTTGTGATGTTTGCATTCAACTCACAGAGTTGAACCTTGCTTTCATAGTTCAGCTTTCAAACACTCTTTTTGTAGAATCTGCAAGTGGATATTTGGACCACTTTGTGGCCTTCCTTCGAAACGGGTATATCTTCACATCAAACCTAGACAGAAGCATTCTCAGAATGTTTCCTGTGATGACTGCATTCAACTCACAGAGGTGAACAATCCTGCTGATGGAGCAGTTTTGAAACTCTCTTTCTTTGGATTCTGCAAGTGGATATGTGGACCTCTGTGAAGATTTCGTTGGAAACGGGTTCATCTTCACAGAAAAACTAAACAGAAACATTCTCAGAAACTGCTTTGTGATGTTTGTGTTCCACTTCAAGAATTGAACTTTCCTCTTGACAGAGCAGCTCTGAAACCCTCTTTTTCTAGAATCTGCAAGTGGACATTTGGAGGGCTTTGAGGCCTGTGGTGGAAAAGGAAAATCTTCACATAAAAACTAGATGGAAGCATTCTCAGAAACTACTTTGTGATGATTGCATTCGACTCACAGAGTTGAACATTCCTATAGATAGAGCAGGTTGTAAACAATCTTTTTGTAGAATCTGCGATTGGAGATTTGGACTGCTTTGAGGCCTACTGTAGTAAAGGAAATAACTTCATCTAAAAACCAAACGGAAGCATTCACAGACAATTCTTAGTGATCATTGCATTGAACTAACAGAGCTGAACATTCCTGTAGATGGCGCAGTTTCCAAACACACTTTCTGTAGAATCTGCAAGTGGATATTTGGACTTCTCTGAGGATTTCGTTGGAAACGGGATAAACTTCCCAGAACTACAGGGAAGCATTGTGAGAAACTTCTTTGTGATGTTTGCATTCAACTCACAGAGTTGAACCTTGCTTTCATAGTTCAGCTTTCAAACACTCTTTTTGTAGAATCTGCAAGTGGATATTTGGACCACTTTGTGGCCTTCCTTCGAAACGGGTATATCTTCACATCAAACCTAGACAGAAGCATTCTCAGAATGTTTCCTGTGATGACTGCATTCAACTCACAGAGGTGAACAATCCTGCTGATGGAGCAGTTTTGAAACTCTCTTTCTTGGATTCTGCAAGTGGATATGTGGACCTCTGTGAAGATTTCGTTGGAAACGTGTTCATCTTCACAGAAAAACTAAACAGGAGCATTCTCAGAAACTGCTTTGTGATGTTTGTGTTCCACTTCAAGAATTGAACTTTCCTCTTGACAGAGCAGCTCTGAAACCCTCTTTTTCTGGAATCTGCAAGTGGACATTTGGAGGGCTTTGAGGCCTGTGGTGGAAAAGGAAAATCTTCCCATAAAAACTAGATGGAAGCATTCTCAGAAACTACTTTGTGATGATTGCATTCGACTCACAGAGTTGAACATTCCTATAGATAGAGCAGGTTGTAAACAATGTTTTTGTAGAATCTGCGATTGGAGATTTGGACTGCTTTGAGGCCTACTGTAGTAAAGGAAATAACTTCATCTAAAAACCAAACGGAAGCATTCACAGACAATTCTTAGTGATCATTGGATTGAACTAACAGAGCTGAACATTCCTTTAGATGGAGCAGTTTCCAAACACACTTTCTGCAGAATCTGCAAGTGGATATTTGGACTTCTCTGAGGATTTCGTTGGAAATGGGATAAACTTCCCAGAACTACACGGAAGCATTGTGAGAATCATCTTTCTGATGTTTGCATTCAACTCACAGAGTTGAACCTTGCTTTCATAGTTCAGCTTTCAAACACTCTTTTTGTAGAATCTGCAAGTGGATATTTGGACCACTTTGTGGCCTTCCTTTGAAAAGGGTACATCTTCACATCAAACCTAGACAGAAGCATTCTCAGAATGTTTCCTGTGATGACTGCATTCAACTCACAGAGGTGAACAATCCTGCTGATGGAGCAGTTTTGAAACTCTCTTTCTTTGGATTCTGCAAGTGGATATGTGGACCTCTGTGAAGATTTCGTTGGAAACGGGTTCATCTTCACAGAAAAACTAAACAGGAGCATTCTCAGAAACTGCTTTGTGATGTTTGTGTTCCACTTCAGGAATTGAACTTTCCTCTTGACAGAGCAGCTCTAAAACCCTCTTATTCTAGAATCTGCAAGTGGACATTTGGAGGGCTTTGAGGCCTGTGGTGGAAAAGGAAAATCTTCACATAAAAACTAGATGGAAGCATTCTCAGAAACTACTTTGTGATGATTGCATTCGACTCACAGAGTTGAACATTCCTATACATAGAGCAGGTTGTAAACAATCTTTTTGTAGAATCTGCGATTGGAGATTTGGACTGCTTTGAGGCCTACTGTAGTAAAGGAAATAACTTCATCTAAAAACCAAACGGAAGCATTCACAGACAATTCTTAGTGATCATTGGATTGAACTAACAGAGCTGAACATTCCTTTAGATGGAGCAGTTTCCAAACACACTTTCTGTAGAATCTGCAAGTGGATATTTGGACTTCTCTGAGGATTTCGTTGGAAACGGGATAAACTTCCCAGAACTACAGGGAAGCATTCTGAGAAACTTCTTTGTGATGTTTGCATTCAACTCACAGTGTTGAACCTTGCTTTCATAGTTCAGCTTTCAAACACTCTTTTTGTAGAATCTGCAAGTGGATATTTGGACCACTTTGTGGCCTTCCTTCGAAACGGGTATATCTTCACATCAAACCTAGACAGAAGCATTCTCAGAATGTTTCCTGTGATGACTGCATTCAACTCACAGAGGTGAACAATCCTGCTGATGGAGCAGTTTTGAAACTCTCTTTCTTTGGATTCTGCAAGTGGATATGTGGACCTCTGTGAAGATTTCGTTGGAAACGGGTTCATCTTCACAGAAAAACTAAACAGAAGCATTCTCAGAAACTGCTTTGTGATATTTGTGTTCCACTTCAGGAATTGAACTTTCCTCTTGACAGAGCAGCTCTGAAACCCTCTTTTTCTAGAATCTGCAAGTGGACATTTGGAGGGCTTTGAGGCCTGTGGTGGAAATGGAAAATCTTCACATAAATACTAGATGGAAGCATTCTCAGAAACTACTTTGTGATGATTGCATTCGACTCACAGAGTTGAACATTCCTATAGATAGAGCAGGTTGTAAACAATCTTTTTGTAGAATCTGCGATTGGAGATTTGGACTGCTTTGAGGCCTACTGTAGTAAAGGAAATAACTTCATCTAAAAACCAAACGGAAGCATTCACAGACAATTCTTAGTGATCATTGGATTGAACTAACAGAGCTGAACATTCCTTTAGATGGAGCAGTTTCCAAACCCACTTTCTGTAGAATCTGCAAGTGGATATTTGGACTTCTCTGAGGATTTCGTTGGAAACGGGATAAATTCCCAGAACTACACGGAAGCATTGTGAGAAACTTCTTTGTGATGTTTGTATTCAACTCACAGGGTTGAACCTTGCTTTCATAGTTCAGCTTTCAAACACTCTTTTTGTAGAATCTGCAAGTGGATATTTGGACCACTTTGTGGCCTTCCTTCGAAACGGGTATATCTTCACATCAAACCTAGACAGAAGCATTCTCAGAATGTTTCCTGTGATGACTGCATTCAAGTCACAGAGGTGAACAATCCTGCTGTTGGAGCAGTTTTGAAACTCTCTTTCTTTGGATTCTGCAAGTGGATATGTGGACCTCTGTGAAGATTTCGTTGGAAACGGGTTCATCTTCACAGAAAAACTAAACAGGAGCATTCTCAGAAACTGCTTTGTGATGTTTGTGTTCCACTTCAAGAATTGAACTTTCCTCTTGACAGAGCAGCTCTGAAACCCTCTTATTCTAGAATCTGCAAGTGGACATTTGGAGGGCTTTGAGGCCTGTGGTGGAAAAGGAAAATCTTCACATAAAAACTAGATGGAAGCATTCTCAGAAACTACTTTGTGATGATTGCATTCGACTCACAGAGTTGAACATTCCTATAGATAGAGCAGGTTGTAAACAATCTTTTTGTAGAATCTGCGATTGGAGATTTGGACTGCTTTGAGTCCTACTGTAGTAAAGGAAATAACTTCATCTAAAAACCAAACGGAAGCATTCACAGACAATTCTTAGTGATCACTGCATTGAACTAACAGAGCTGAACATTCCTTTAGATGGCGCAGTTTCCAAACACACTTTCTGTAGAATCTGCAAGTGGATATTTGGACCTCCCTGAGGATTTCGTTGGAAACGGGATAAAATTCCCAGAACTACACGGAAGCATGCTGAGAAACTTCTTTGTGATGTTTGCATTCAACTCACAGAGTTGAACCTTGCTTTCATAGTTCAGCTTTCAAACACTCTTTTTGTAGAATCTGCAAGTGGATATTTGGACCACTTTGTGGCCTTCCTTCGAAACGGGTATATCTTCACATCAAACCTAGACAGAAGCATTCTCAGAATGTTTCCTGTGATGACTGCATTCAACTCACAGAGGTGAACAATCCTGCTGATGGAGCAGTTTTGAAACTCTCTTTCTTTGGATTCTGCAAGTGGATATGTGGACCTCTGTGAAGATTTCGTTGGAAACGGGTTCATCTTCACAGAAAAACTAAACAGAAGCATTCTCAGAAACTGCTTTGTGATGTTTGTGTTCCACTTCAGGAATTGAACTTTCCTCTTGACAGAGCAGCTCTGAAACCCTCTTATTCTAGAATCTGCAAGTGGACATTTGGAGGGCTTTGAGGCCTGTGGTGGAAAAGGAAAATCTTCACATAAAAACTAGATGGAAGCATTCTCAGAAACTACTTTGTGATGATTGCATTCGACTCACAGAGTTGAACATTCCTATAGATAGAGCAGGTTGTAAACAATCTTTTTGTAGAATCTGCGATTGGAGATTTGGACTGCTTTGAGGCCTACTGTAGTAAAGGAAATTACTTCATCTAAAAACCAAACGGAAAGCATTCACAGACAATTCTTAGTGATCATTGGATTGAACTAACAGAGCTGAACATTCCTTTAGATAGAGCAGTTTCCAAACACACTTTCTGTAGAATCTGCAAGTGGATATTTGGACTTCTCTGAGGATTTCGTTGGAAACGGGATAAACTTCACAGAACTACACGGAAGCATTCTGAGAAACTTCTTTGTGATGTTTGCATTCAACTCACAGAGTTGAACCTTGTTTTCATAGTTCAGCTTTCAAACACTCTTTTTGTAGAATCTGCAAGTGGATATTTGGACCACTTTGTGGCCTTCCTTCGAAACGGGTATATCTTCACATCAAACCTAGACAGAAGCATTCTCAGAATGTTTCCTGTGATGACTGCATTCAACTCACAGAGGTGAACAATCCTGTTGATGGAGCACTTTTGAAACTCTCTTTCTTTGGATTCTGCAAGTTGATATGTGGACCTCTGTGAAGATTTCGTTGGAAACGGGTTCATCTTCACAGAAAAACTAAACAGAAGCATTCTCAGAAACTACTTTGTGATGTTTGTGTTCCACTTCAAGAATTGAACTTTCCTCTTGACAGAGCAGCTCTGAAACCCTCTTTTTCTAGAATCTGCAAGTGGACATTTGGAGGGCTTTGAGGCCTGTGGTGGAAAAGGAAAATCTTCACATAAAAACTAGATGGAAGCATTCTCAGAAACTACTTTGTGATGATTGCATTCGACTCACAGAGTTGAACATTCCTATAGATAGAGCAGGTTGTAAACAATCTTTTTGTAGAATCTGCGATTGGAGATTTGGACTGCATTGAGGCCTACTGTAGTAAAGGAAATAACTTCATCTAAAAACCAAACGGGAAGCATTCACAGACAATTCTTAGTGATCATTGCATTGAACTAACAGAGCTGAATATTGCTTTAGATGGAGCAGTTTCCAAACACACTTTCTGTAGAATCTGCAAGTGGATATTTGGACCTCTCTGAGGATTTCGTTGGAAACGGGATAAAATTCCCAGAACTACACGGAAGCATGCTGAGAAACTTCTTTGTGATGTTTGCATTCAACTCACAGAGTTGAACCTTGCTTTCTTAGTTCAGCTTTCAAACACTCTTTTTGTAGAATCTGCAAGTGGATATTTGGACCACTTTGTGGCCTTCCTTCGAAACGGGTATATCTTCACATCAAACCTAGACAGAAGCATTCTCAGAATGTTTCCTGTGATGAGTGCATTCAACTCACAGAGGTGAACAATCCTGTTGATGGAGCAGTTTTGAAACTCTCCTTCTTTGGATTCTGCAAGTGGATATGAGGACCTCTGTGAAGATTTCGTTGGAAACGGGTTCATCTTCACAGAAAAACTAAACAGAAACATTCTCAGAAACTGCTTTGTGATGTTTGTGTTCCACTTCAAGAATTGAACTTTCCTCTTGACAGAGCAGCTCTGAAACCCTCTTTTTCTAGAATCTGCAAGTGGACATTTGGAGGGCTTTGAGGCCTGTGGTGGAAAAGGAAAATCTTCACATAAAAACTAGATGGAAGCATTCTCAGAAACTACTTTGTGATGATTGCATTCGACTCACAGATTTGAACATTCCTATAGATAGAGCAGGTTGAAAACAATCTTTTTGTAGAATCTGCGATTGGAGATTTGGACTGCTTTGAGGCCTACTGTAGTAAAGGAAATAACTTCATCTAAAAACCAAACGGAAGCATTCACAGACAATTCTTAGTGATCATTGGATTGAACTAACAGAGCTGAACATTCCTTTAGATGGAGCAGTTTCCAAACACACTTTCTGTAGAATCTGCAAGTGGATATTTGGACCTCTCTGAGGATTTCGTTGGAAACGGGATAAACTTCCCAGAACTACACGGAAGCATTCTGAGAAACTTCTTTGTGATGTTTGCATTCAACTCACAGAGTTGAACCTTGCTTTCATAGTTCAGCTTTCAAACACTCTTTTTGTAGAATCTGCAAGTGGATATTTGGACCACTTTGTGGCCTTCCTTCGAAACGGGTATATCTTCACATCAAACCTAGACAGAAGCATTCTCAGAATGTTTCCTGTGATGACTGCATTCAACTCACAGAGGTGAACAATCCTGTTGACGGAGCACTTTTGAAACTCTCTTTCTTTGGATTCTGCAAGTTGATATGTGGACCTCTGCGAAGATTTCGTTGGAAACGGGTTCATCTTCACAGAAAAACTAAACAGAGGCATTCTCAGAAACTACTTTGTGATGTTTGTGTTCCACTTCAAGAATTGAACTTTCCTCTTGACAGAGCAGCTCTGAAACCCTCTTTTTCTAGAATCTGCAAGTGGACATTTGGAGGGCTTTGAGGCCTGTGGTGGAAAAGGAAAATCTTCACATAAAAACTAGATGGAAGCATTCTCAGAAACTACTTTGTGATGATTGCATTCGACTCACAGAGTTGAACATTCCTATAGATAGAGCAGGTTGTAAACAATCTTTTTGTAGAATCTGCGATTGGAGATTTGGACTGCTTTGAGGCCTACTGTAGTAAAGGAAATAACTTCATCTAAAAACCAAACGGAAGCATTCACAGGACAATTCTTAGTGATCATTGCATTGAACTAACAGAGCTGAACATTGCTTTAGATGGAGCAGTTTCCAAACACACTTTCTGTAGAATCTGCAAGTGGATATTTGGACCTCTCTGAGGATTTCGTTGGAAACGGGATAAAATTCCCAGAACTACACGGAAGCATGCTGAGAAACTTCTTTGTGATGTTTGCATTCAACTCACAGAGTTGAACCTTGCTTTCATAGTTCAGCTTTCAAACACTCTTTTTGTAGAATCTGCAAGTGGATATTTGGACCACTTTGTGGCCTTCCTTCGAAACGGGTATATCTTCACTTCAAACCTAGACAGAAGCATTCTCAGAATGTTTCCTGTGATGACTGCATTCAACTCACAGAGGTGAACAATCCTGTTGATGGAGCACTTTTGAAACTCTCTTTCTTTGGATTCTGCAAGTTGATATGTGGACCTCTGTGAAGATTTCGTTGGAAACGGGTTCATCTTCACAGAAAAACTAAACAGAAGCATTCTCAGAAACTACTTTGTGATGTTTGTGTTCCACTTCAAGAATTGAACTTTCCTCTTGACAGAGCAGCTCTGAAACCCTCTTTTTCTAGAATCTGCAAGTGGACATTTGGAGGGCTTTGAGGACTGTGGTGGAAAAGGAATATCTTCACATAAAAACTAGATGGAAGCATTCTCAGAAACTACTTTGTGATGATTGCATTCGACTCACAGAGTTGAACATTCCTATAGATAGAGCAGGTTGTAAACAATCTTTTTGTAGAATCTGCGATTGGAGATTTGGACTGCTTTGAGGCCTACTGTAGTAAAGGAAATAACTTCATCTAAAAACCAAACGGAAGCATTCACAGTACAATTCTTAGTGATCATTGCATTGAACTAACAGAGCTGAACATTCCTTTAGATGGCGCAGTTTCCAAACACACTTTCTGTAGAATCTGCAAGTGGATATTTGGACCTCTCTGAGGATTTCGCTGGAAACGGGATAAACTTCCCAGAACTACACGGAAGCATTCTGAGAAACTTCTTTGTGATGTTTGCATTCAACTCACAGAGTTGAACCTTGCTTTCATAGTTCAGCTTTCAAACACTCTTTTTGTAGAATCTGCAAGTGGATATTTGGACCACTTTGTGGCCTTCCTTCGAAACGGGTATATCTTCACATCAAACCTAGACAGAAGCATTCTCAGAATGTTTCCTGTGATGACTGCATTCAACTCACAGAGGTGAACAATCCTGCTGATGGAGCAGTTTTGAAACTCTCTTTCTTTGGATTCTGCAAGTGGATATGTGGACCTCTGTGAAGATTTCGTTGGAAACGAGTTCATCTTCACAGAAAAACTAAACAGAAGTATTCTCAGAAACTGCTTTGTGATGTTTGTGTTCCACTTCAGGAATTGAACTTTCCTCTTGACAGAGCAGCTCTGAAACCCTCTTATTCTAGAATCTGCAAGTGGACATTTGGAGGGCTTTGAGGCCTGTGGTGGAAAAGGAAAATCTTCACATAAAAACTAGATGGAAGCATTCTCAGAAACTACTTTGTGATGATTGCATTCGACTCACAGAGTTGAACATTCCTATAGATAGAGCAGGTTGTAAACAATCTTTTTGTAGAATCTGCGATTGGAGATTTGGACTGCTTTGAGGCCTACTGTAGTAAAGGAAATAACTTCATCTAAAAACCAAACGGAAGCATTCACAGACAATTCTTAGTGATCATTGCATTGAACTAACAGAGCTGAACATTCCTTTAGATGGAGCAGTTTCCAAACACACTTTCTGTAGAATCTGCAAGTGGATATTTGGACCTCTCTGAGGATTTCGTTGGAAACGGGATAAACTTCCCAGAACTACACGGAAGCATTCTGAGAAACTTCTTTGTGATGTTTGCATTCAACTCACAGAGTTGAACCTTGCTTTCATAGTTCAGCTTTCAAACACTCTTTTTGTAGAATCTGCAAGTGGATATTTGGACCACTTTGTGGCCTTCCTTCGAAACGGGTATATCTTCACATCAAACCTAGACAGAAGCATTCTCAGAATGTTTCCTGTGATGACTGCATTCAACTCACAGAGGTGAACAATCCTGCTGATGGAGCAGTTTTGAAACTCTCTTTCTTTGGATTCTGCAAGTGGATATGTGGACCTCTGTGAAGATTTCGTTGGAAACGGGTTCATCTTCACAGAAAAACTAAACAGAAGCATTCTCAGAAACTGCTTTGTGATGTTTGTGTTCCACTTCAGGAATTGAACTTTCCTCTTGACAGAGCAGCTCTGAAACCCTCTTATTCTAGAATCTGCAAGTGGACATTTGGAGGGCTTTGAGGCCTGTGGTGGAAAAGGAAAATCTTCACATAAAAACTAGATGGAAGCATTCTCAGAAACTACTTTGTGATGATTGCATTCGACTCACAGAGTTGAACATTCCTATAGATAGAGCAGGTTGTAAACAATCTTTTTGTAGAATCTGCGATTGGAGATTTGGACTGCTTTGAGGCCTACTGTAGTAAAGGAAATAACTTCATCTAAAAACCAAACGGAAGCATTCACAGACAATCCTTAGTGATCATTGCATTGAACTAACAGAGCTGAACATTCCTTTAGATGGCGCAGTTTCCAAACACACTTTCTGTAGAATCTGCAAGTGGATATTTGGACCTCTCTGAGGATTTCGTTGGAAACGGGATAAACTTCCCAGAACTACACGGAAGCATTGTGAGAAACTTCTTTGTGATGTTTGCATTCAACTCACAGAGTTGAACCTTGCTTTCATAGTTCAGCTTTCAAACACTCTTTTTGTAGAATCTGCAAGTGGATATTTGGACCACTTTGTGGCCTTCCTTCGAAACGGGTATATCTTCACATCAAACCTAGACAGAAGCATTCTCAGAATGTTTCCTGTGATGACTGCATTCAACTCACAGAGGTGAATAATCCTTCTGATGGAGCAGTTTTGAAACTCTCTTTCTTTGGATTCTGCAAGTGGATATGTGGACCTCTGTGAAGATTTCGTTGGAAACGGGTTCATCTTCACAGAAAAACTAAACAGGAGCATTCTCAGAAACTGCTTTGTGATGTTTGTGTTCCACTTCAAGAATTGAACTTTCCTCTTGACAGAGCAGCTCTGAAACCCTCTTTTTCTAGAATCTGCAAGTGGACATTTGGAGGGCTTTGAGGCCTGTGGTGGAAAAGGAAAATCTTCACATAAAAACTAGATGGAAGCATTCTCAGAAACTACTTTGTGATGATTGCATTCGACTCACAGAGTTGAACATTCCTATAGATAGAGCAGGTTGTAAACAATCTT